>NC_000007.14:85537082-85840112 GCF_000001405.40 Homo sapiens | reverse complement strand
TACTCTAAAACATTAATTCTATGTTATGGTATTATACTCACACACAAAATAAAACAAATCTAAGATTTGTTCTCTAAGTTTATTCTTTTCATGTTTTGTAATTTATTATTTTTTGCTTGTTTTGTCATTCAATAAGCCTGCTTTCTTGTTTTTAATTTTCATATTATTTTATTAACACTTAGTTTATTTTATTATTTTTAAATTAATGATGAACTAAGGCAAAAAATTTCTTCTGGTATGAGCTTTATCTATACCTTGTAGTTTTTGATGCGTACAATTCTAAAATAATCAGGAATTCTAGTTTTTATTCCTTTTTTACCCAGCGGTAAACTAGGAGAGTTTCAAAACATGCTTATTTATTTTAAAATGTTAGGCTTTTCTTTTAATTAAAAAGTAAACTTTATTATTATTGTGTTTCCTTTTAAATTTATAGATATTTTATTCTTATGCTAAATCATGTTTAATATTTGTAGCTAGTCTATGAACACTTGAAAATAAGTATTTTCCTGCATTTCAGATTATCTGTATATTTCAACCTTTACTATTTTATTATTCTAATCCTTTTTTTCTGCCTTGAACATCACTATATTCATCAAGTGGATGAGAAATTCAGTTTTATTTTAGCCTATTTTCTAGATAGCTTATGAAAACAATGAAAGAAAATAATAATAATGGAAAAGGTGGAATGGAACAGGAGCTATCACTATAGACAGAGAGAGAGAGATTCATGTACACGTGTGTGTGTGTATTTATAAAATTTACTGATGCATGATATACATATGATAACATTTATTTATTTTAAATATACAGTTTGATGCATTATGGTAAATATATACAGTCAGGAGAAATGAGATTTTAAATTTCATGCTGTACAAAACTATGGAAACAGCAGTATCTTTTATCTTGTACTTAAATGAATATTTGCAATATAATAATCAGTTAAAGATTCTAAATGATAAAAATTCTATTCACTGTTACATAAACTTGAAGAAGTTGGCAATGTTATATGTAAATATTAGAGGACTTAATGAGGACAGATATTTATCTTCAACAAATATAATGAGGGATTCAACTTATTATATCCAAATAAAACTCCAAATAAACAACCTAGGAATAATGGAGCTAATATTTTAAATATATTTCAGCTTAATATAGAAATAATTTTATGAAAATAGCAGATTCTAATATGGAAATAAGCTTTTCTGGGAAATGTATGTTTGATATCACAGGAACAGTTCAGGCCATGGATGGAAGAGTTACTATAACAAAAGCAGCCACACTAGTGACAAAGCTGAGTTAGCTCTTTCTAACAAACACTCCCTCCAGCTCATAGATTCAGTTATTCTTTGAAAATTGAAAAAGACAAATGAGGGAAAAATATTTCTCTCTGTGACCATATTAGTTACTCCAATAAAAAATGTGATATATACATATATATATACATATATATAATCACAATTCATTAGTAGCCTTGAAACATTAACAACTAGATTAGTAATAAATTACATATACTTAAAATTCAGAGGATAAGTTTTGCATTTCATATAATGGTAAATTAAATCACACTTTTGTTTGGTGTTCCATGAGGGGTAGGGAAATTGAGTAGTTTACCCGTGATATTCTCAGGTAAAAAATGTGGTATTTGTCACTAATGAGGTATTTGGGGTTATTTGGAAAATCTATTTACAGTCAGAGCCCGGAAAAGTGACCATTCTTCAATTCTGCCACTGGGTTATTGTTGTTTCATTTAAAAAAAATATGGATTTTTTTAATTAGTAAAAGCTAAATATAACCAAAGACATGAAGTGGGAAAAATAAAATTATGAAAGAGATATTAAACTTAAGTTCTGTTTTTTATAATTCAAATCTTTTAAAGGAAACCTTGGACACACAGTATTATCTGAATTGGGTGGAGTTAAAAGCACTTAAGAAAACACTTATCCAATGGATTAGTTTTTTCTTTCTTTCAATTTTCATAGCTTCAATTTCATTTTTAATGGGATCCAAATGTCTTTTCAAATATATAACCATTTAAAAAGCTATTACGTGCTTAAATGAACATTAGAATTTTATCTTTTGTAATCTTAGCTACAGAGTTCTTGTAAATGAACAGGATAGATGTAAAGTCCTAAATCAAAATGGACTTAGGTATTTTCAATTGTTGGCAATAAATAATTAGAAATGAGAAACCACCCCAGGAAAACATCTCACTGAACCCCCTTTTAAAAATTGACTTTTTATTTTGCTTGAATGTATTTGTAGTTATTCCATCAAAATATGAAAATACACTTATGTCTATAAATTAGTTTTTCTTCTGTTAATGTTGCTGATGAGAAAAAGCAATAAAATGAAAATTAATTTGCTAAGTCGTTTCCCGATATGGTATATATGCAATGATTATGTTTCCTTACACATCCAAATGAAAAAAAGCAAGAAGTAAAACAAAGGTATGGTAATCAGAAATGTATGCAAAATAAAAAGCAGCCATATGTCAATTCAGGAATATTGAGAGTAAAATAAAGTATATTTAACTATAAGAAATATTAAAATTAGTTTAAAATATAAAAATGCCTTTCTATGTTTCCATATATCATCTTAGTTACCTGGAAGGTATTACAATAAAATGTGGCTAAATCAACTATCTAGAAGTCTATATGCTTCCCGTAACTGAAAAGCTCCAAATGTATAAATGAAAGAGGAAAGTGTAGGAGGAACAAAGGCCACAAAGAGTCCTTCTTTAAAGAGAAGAAAGTAAATAAAACAGAAGAGAGGAGTAAAGGCCTCCATTATATCCAGTGTTCTATTTGTCCACTGGTTAAAACTAAACAAGTTGTTGTTGTCAGGCTTTTATTTGAAAAGGCAAGAAACAAAAGTAAATGGAAACCAAAAGACACAAAATAGGTAATGAAGAAGAACCAAAAGGAGGAGGAGTGAAAAGAGGAGAAGGAAAGGATAAAGAGTAGAAAGATCGAGAGAAGAAATATGAACCCTGATGTGAGGAGAAAGGGAACTCAAACTAAATGAGGAAACCGAACAAGTCTGGAAAGCATTTGATTAGCTTCAATAAAACTGAACATATGGGATTAGAAAGGGGGCTGGGGAAAGACAAGATTTGTAATCGCCCCAAATAATAAAAATGATAACTTCCAGTTATATTAACATATTCTTTTAATCAAGACAGTATCTTTACCTTTACTGTGATATGATTTTAATAATTAAATCAATGAGAATGCAAAATAATGTGAAGCATAAATAAATATCCAATAATCAGGTTAGAAAATTTAGTTTAACTCCAGCTGCTATACATACCAAGAAGCCAATTTGTTTTCTGAACTTTCCTATCAATAAAATAAACATACATAATTTAATTAGTGGTTCTTAACCAACTATCTATCATTATCCCAGGTCTATTAATTAAATATATATATCCTACGATATAATGTGTATAGTATAGTATATGTTGTAAAACACTACCCACATGCTTCTGAAGTGCCTTCTTGGTTAAAAACAACTATACGCCCGGGCGCAGTGGCTCACGCCTGTAATCCAGCTCTTTGGGAGGCCGAAGCAGGTGGATCACAAGATCAGATCAAGGCCATCCTGGCTAACACAGTGAAACCCTGTCTCTACTAAAAATACAAAAAATTAGCCAGGCAAGATGGCGCGCACCTGTAATCCCAGCTACTTGGGAGGCTGAGGCAGGAGAATCGCTTGAACCCGGGAGGCGGAGGTTGCAGTGAGCTGAGATTGCGCCACTGCAGTAATACTACATGAATTCAAAGTTACTTCTTAGCTTCAAAATTTTACTCAAAATTCTAGGATTCTATGGCAGCTAATCAACATTTATTTCCATTATATGGTATATCCTACTATAAAAATAAACTGCTATAACAGTTGTCTGTAGTTTTTGTACAGAAAACTGCTATACCAGTACTCTTGCTAGTTTTTCACTATTTAGTTACTTATCTATGACATATATGACATGAAGATCTTGAGAGAAATTGGTATTTCACATATATAGACAAATGGAGTAAGATAACTTCGAATAATTCCATACTTTACCCTTTGTAGATTTACAATGAAAATATTTTATATGGAAACAAATTTTGGAGTTATACTCATAAAATATAATATTTTAGGAGATATTATATTTAAATCTACAGAGCAGGAAAATGCTCTGAGAAAATTATAATTTATAAATGCAATAGGAAGTATTATATGGGAAGGTAATCTTGACCTGACCCACTATTAGAAAGGACATTTTCAGGGTTTTCTTAGCTGTACATAGAATGGAGCCCAGTTTGCCAAATACATTCTGCCAAGGACTTACTTTTACCTTAAGAGACACTGAAACTCGAGTGGATTCACACCCAAAATAGGTTATAATGAAAAGACTAAACACATAATATTTAGCACATCATGGTGAAATAAAACTCTTAAAGCTTGTACTGGTTTCTGGAAGAAATGGAGTCATTGCAGCCTTTACTAATTATCCACTTTGGCTAATTCTGATTATTCCAAATACCTTTTGGAAAGTGACAGGGTTGAAATTATAATATGATTTTGTATTTTTGGATATAACTGTATACTCTATTAAAAATCTATAAAACACTTTCTATTTTTTTAGTAGCATAGTGATCATTCCTTCTGATAGTAAACCGAATTTCTTGCTAAGCTACCTGGCTTACCTAGCTTTTCAAAAGTTTGCCTACACTATCATAATATATTTCATTATAGTTATTCTTTAGTCAGCACACAGTTTATTTTCTGAAAATAAAGTGCTTCTACGACAAATGTGAACTATCTCTCTGTCTCTTTCTTTCAACATTTGTTATTGGGTCTAAATTTTTAAAGTAAATGCAAAGACTCACACCTTTCCACTAACAAAATTAACAAGTCATGTGGAAAGTTTACCAAAAATACAATTCATCCCGTAATTAATTATAACTCCACAATACTGGTTAGAATTTTTCAAAATATTCTAAGTATATATTAAAAAGTGATTATTTGACATAAACTTTTTGGCTGTTTGAAGTATGCAATTATATTTTAATAATTCCTAAAAATCTGGTTAGAAAACAATTGTTAAAACCAGTATAAATTTCTGTAATGTGAAAGAAACAGATTTGCAGAAATGATAACTTCCTTGTGTCCTTCCTATCCAGAGCTGAAGTGGAAAACAAAGGCATGTAAGGTAATGACTTTTTACCAAAATTCCAGTTATACAGGGATAACTAATGAAAAAAAAATCATTGCTGTAGTATTTTTAGAGTAGAAGTTCTCAATCTTTAATGTATCTGAGAATTACCTAGGTGATTGGATAAAACACAGATTTCTGGTTTCTGCCCACAAGCTTCTGATTCAGTGGGTTTGATAGGAGTCTAGAAAATTTGCATTTTTAAAGTGCTTTCAAGTGATACTCATGCTTTTTTTCCAAGGACTATGTTTTGAGAACCACTGATAAAGATTTTAATCAATCAAATCTATTTTGTAGTTCTTAGTGTTTTACATATACCTTTTTGTAGATATTTAAAGACATCCTGATTTATATGACAAAGATTTGATGATTTACTTTATGTACAAGGGTGACTTTTGATCCTTCAGAGACGATGTGGTTGGTCCACAATCAGATGTTTAAATTAGGGTTCTCCAGAGAAACAGAACCAATAGGATATATAGATAAGATAGAGAGATAGATAGAGGAGAGGTCATTTATTATTGAAATTGGTTCACACAATTATGGAGGCCAAGAAGTCTCACAATAGGCAAGCTGGATAGCCATGATAGCCAGTGGCGTAATTCAGTCTGAGTCCATAGTATAGATAAGATAGAGAGATAGATAGAGGAGAGGTCATTTATTATTGAAATTGGTTCACACAATTATGGAGGCCAAGAAGTCTCGCAATAGGCAAGCTGGATAGCCATGATAGCCAGTGGCGTAATTCAGTCTGAGTCCATAGGCCTGAGAACCAGGGGACCCAATGGTGTAATTCTCTGTTTGAGACCCAAGGCCTAAAAACTGGAAGGGGATGTGGAAAGACATGTGCATTGGTGGGGAGCTCTGATACCTGAGAGCTGAAGATGAATGTTGCAGCTCAGGAGTGTTAGGGAAATTTCTTTCTTCTTCCACCTTTTGGTTTTATCCAGGACCTCAACCTGCCCACATTAGTGTAGGCAGGTCTTTTTTACTCAGTATACTGATTTAAATGCTAATCTTTTCTGGAAATACCTCAACAGACACACCTAGAAATAATATTTTACCAGTTATCTGAGCATCCCTTGACCCAGTCATGTTGACACATACAATTTCATCCTTTATTCTGTTGCTGTTTGTTGATTTTTAATTTTATTTTTGTCCACTTCCACTGGAGGAGAGCAGTTGCACAGATCCTCATATAAGACTAGCTAGAAGAAAATCTGAAAGCAAGTTGGGATGTAGTTGATTGCAAAATATGTATTTGTGTAATAATGACTTTTAATCAGTGAAAAAAAGAAAGGTCTGTATGCCTAGGATATTTTAAAGTAGTATTCCAAAAACAAACAAACAAAAACAAATGAAATAAGCAAAAAAGAAAGAAGGAAGGGAAATAATCTCCACATTAGCCACTTGGAATTACTAACTCTAATTAATTGAGTTAATAGTATTTTAAAACAATGTAAACTTTTATTTTTTAATCCTTTCATTTTGTATCATCAGTGATGATACAGTTTCCAATTACAGATGTTGCTTTGCTCATGAAAAAAATATTTGAAATATTTAGTTTCACACTAAACATTCTAACATTTTGTCTTGAGTTCGTCTTGGCAAGATATTTCTATGCTGATTTGGCACATTACATTTTTGTGAGCCGATGAATACTGTGCAATTCTGTGTGAACTCCTCCAGTGCAAAGGCATTTTGCACTGGAAGCACACCAAATGCAAGTATGTGTTCCTTTGGCTTTCGTGATCTGTAAGTAATATATAGCTCTACTGGTTCCAGTATACAAACATGAAAACTGAACAGTGGAAAATTATAATATCATTTTTTGAGTGAAGTATATTTGGACACATGAGAGCTGTTATCTTAATTCTACCCATTTGCAGAACATATTACTTAGTTCATTTGTAAGAAACAATATATCAGAAAAGCTGTGCCTTTTTCCCCTTAAAACATTTAATTTTTTGACCATCAGTATATGCTGAATGTTAACTGAACTCTTTAGTAAACTGGTTTATCTGCCACTTTTCCAAACAGGTATAGAAACTGTCAATGCAGAAGTAAACCAACAGAAATGTTCAAGAAGATAATTCTACTTACTTCTATAGTCAAAAAATGTCAGTTGACAGCAGTTAGAGTGAAATTATTGGAAAACATAAATTTTAAATAACATATTTATGAAAGTCTAACTGCATACTAAAATATTATCTCTTGGTAAAATTTTATCTGAAATTGAAGAGGCATGGGGTAGAGATTATTAGAACTGTTACTAGAAAGATTTCATGAACAATGCTAATAAGCATTTATAAATCATTAATTTTTTTCATTTATCTCTATCATGGAAGAAAACACAAAAACAATATTTGTTAAATTTTAATGTCTGTCCTTCTCATGAAGAGGTGAGAAATGTGTGGCACTTTTGTATCCTATCCAAATAGTAAGTAATCATTTTAAAAGACTTTTCAAATGCTTAAAGTTTCCAGGATTGTATTTAGTAACGTAAAGCCCTCCAAAATTGGCCAACATTTCCCACGTAGTGAATTGAGCTGTTACGAGGTCCCATTCAGTCATCAGAAAAGATGCTAAGTATGAAGGGGAGACATTTAGGTCAAAGCTAGAATGCAGAAAAATAAAGTAAGGCCACAAAAGAGTCCCTGTCAAAGAGAAAGTGTTCAGATATACACCCATTATTAATAAAAACGACAGCTTGATCTGATTCCATCTTTCATTCAGGAATGGCATGAAGAAAATCTTACTAATCTCAAGAAATATCCAACTGTACCTCCACATTATATGAGATCCTGACATCAGTTAGTGTACCTTAGGAATGCTCTCCCGTTATTTTCTTTCTTTAGAACCAATGTATAAACCTCCCTTTCTTTTCACACAGTCATTCCACTGTTTGGAACTTCTGGTAACATTAAAGTTCATTCCCTTGTGGTAATTGATACATCAGTCACACAAGCCATTTTTTCTGTATATTCTTAAAGTATCACTGTAGATCAAAACATAATGTAAAAAGATAAAAGTGACCTGTGTTTGGAAATGTAAAATTTACTCTCCTTTAACCACCCACTTTTCAATTTCCTCTCAAGGCAAACTTTGAAGGGCCATTCTGAGACTCTTTTTTTTTTTTTTTTTTTTTTTTAATTCCTTCCTGAGGGACTTGTTTTTTCTTTTGAAAGGGAAGAATGGGTTTTGCAGACTTTTCTCATATAAAAGGAAAATACAAGATAAAATAGAACAGAAAAAAAGCATTTCCCCAACAACAAAACAAAGTTGGAAAACAGCTGTTTAGCAACACCTTACTTCCCAAACACACTGATAAGGAATTATTATTTTGCAATAGAAATAATGATAAACATAAAGTTACTGTCTTGCACTATGATTTTGAATGTATGCTCTGACATTTCACTTCTAATTTTCCCCTGGTTTGGCCTTGTGACTACCATGAACAAAGCAAACAGCCTTCACTGTCCTTTCTTAGCTGTGAAGTACAGATAATTCTAATTTCTCTGCTAACCTTTCAGTGCCACTGAGAGAATGAGATGAGAAGATGGTGCACATGCTTTTAGAACCTTCAGATGTTATTTAAATACGTAGTGGTTTTCATATTGTTGTTGATTTGATAAAGTAATATAGTATTCATTCATTTACTCAATTATAAATTATTCAATACATATTTATTAACTGTCTAATGTGAAAAATTTGAATGAAGGTTTTTGCTGATGTAGTATTTTTAAAAAAGTTGAAAAACTATTATTTTTGTTTAATGTTCTGAGAAGGAAAAGAAAACAGACACATAATACATTATTAGATTGTTCAAATTGGAAATTAAAGTAATAGGAAACCTTTAAATAATTCATTTTGAAAATACAGTCTAGCAACATCAAATAAGGAAAGAATAGATGATAATACAGAAGGGAGGCCCCATGTGGGAATGGAATATACAAGATTTAAAGAACCTGGTACTTCTGGAAGAATTTAGTAATTTTTATGCCCTTTAAGTGTCTCTCTAATATTTACTTGTTACCCAAATATAAGTTATATCAGGAGACAATATGTGGTTAAGATATTAAGAGGATAAGCTACAGTGCCAGATTATCTGTGTTTAAATCTTGGCTCTAATATTATAGCTAAGTGGACGTTCAAAAAGTTTCTTCAGTTCTCTATGCTTATATTTTCTTACTGATAAACTAGGATGATAATCACACCTACTTTGCAGGATTGTTGTGTGGATGAAATAAATTCCTATGTGGGAAGTGCTTGGAGGAATGTCTGGGAGCCTCTGAACCATTAGAGCTGTTTAAATATTATTGTTATCTGCATATTTTTCTTCAGAGTCTCTAAATAAAAACCTTGCACACTAATTCACAATATGAAGATCATTTATAATAACTATCCCAGATAATTTAGGGCACAGATAATAATAACATTAATAATTACCACATATAAGGAGAGATTAGCTTTGCCTTGCACTGTCCTGAATTTGTTACATGCCGCATTTATCATCTCAACCTTATGTAGTTACTAAAATTATCCCCATTTTGCATGTAAGAAAATGGAAGCATCCTAAGAAAAACTAATTTACCCAAGCTTGTACAGCTAGAAAATGATTGAGCTGTGGTTTGAATCTAGACACTCCATCTCCAGAACTTGCACTGTTAACTTCCAGTGCCTTGAAAAGTACCATATAGATATAAATATTAATATCTGTGGTATCTCTAAGCTACTTAAAATGTTGACAAGGACATCCAGTTACTCAAATATTCTGAATAAACAGGATTTTATTATACATGTTTTAATGCACCATTAAAATTTCAAATATACTCTAAATCTTGAGCTTTATTAATAACGTTGCATAGTATATTGTATTAGTAGATTTGCCACAAGATGGCATGCTTCACTAGGAAGTGTTCATTCTTGCCAGGTGCAAAGATATAAAATGTGATATTCTATAATAGGGCTAGGGGAAAAAAGTGTGTAGCCTTCTCTGATTGTTTTACATGAACAGATATTTCACTTTAATTTTACCATGCTCATTCTGGGCAAACAACCTGCAACCATATTATTCAGCTCTTGCATTCAAAGCTACGCCTTTGTTTCCATTAAAGACATTTTCACAAGGACAAAAAACCAAACACCACATGTTCTCATTCATAGGTGGGAATTGAACAATGAGAACACATGGACACAGGAAGGGGAACATCACACTCCGGGGACTGTTGTGGGGTGGGGGGAGGGGGGAGGGATAGCATTAGAAGATATACCTAATGCTAAATGATGAGTTAATGGGTGTAGCACACCAGCATGGCACATGTATACATATGTAACTAACCTGCACATTGTGCACATGTACCCTAAAACTTAAAGTATAATAATAATAAAATTAAAAAAAAATAGATTAAACCCCCACATGGAAAAAATATCAAAAAAAGACATTTTATTCTGTTTTATATAGTCTATATTTTGCTCTCAAGATCAAAGCTTTTTGTCTGACTTTGTGTTTCTGTCACCTGAAATATTTTGATTATGTCGCAATTATATATTCTCTGGGAAAAACACTTTCTCATTGTACCTATCCATATGGGTGCTTTGGATGGAAATAAACATTTGCATTTGAACTGTTCTGTGGCCTGTCAACATCACTATGGGCCATCAACACTGTCAGAGCATTAGCAGGAGACTAAACACTGGGGAGAAGCCTTGATAATTTAGCTGGACTAACTCTGAACCTACAAAAACGGTCCTTTCCTTTAGATTTTAAGGGCTAAGTCTATGCAGAAAATAACTAAGAGTTTCAACCGTTTTACATTTCTAGGTACAACGTTATTAAAAAGTGGATGAAAACACTATGAGAAGCAGTGTAAAGGGTACATTTATAACAGCAAGGTGTAGGCTATTTTTTAAACTACTGTTATAGTAGAATTCCAAGGCCTTTCTCGCATTTGAAAAGGTTGGGCATGGTTAGGGAAGATTTTCATGTTTAAATAACAACTTCCTGTGAGTGAGAGGATCTGCTCAGAGAGCTGTCAGTTCTCTTTAAACCGTGTAATACAATTCCCAGACAACTATAGGACCATCCCTCTATGGGTAGTGGGGTCAATGAAAAGTCATATATGACTCAAACTTTCTCACCCTAGAATCTGAGAGATTGAATCTGTTGACTTCCTCAGCTTTGGCCAGCTCTGGAGTGGAAAATGGATTTGAGAGATTAAACCTAAATCTCTTGTGTATCAAAGCAAGGAACTAAATTCAGGACTACTGTGCTGGCTAAGTGAGGACTACTGTGCTGGCTGAATGGGGACTACTGTGCTGGCCGATTGAGGATGGAATCCTCAAACCAAACACTGTAGACCACTGTCTCTGTGCTAAGGTCTAAACTTCGAGAAACTTTCTGCCACCTTAGAAAGAGAAAGGAAGTTTTGAGAAGAAAATCGTTTTTAAATATTATTTTGTTTTTTATTTTCTTTTTAGTTAAATACACAAAAGGCTTGCTTTACAGCTTTTTTGTTAAGTCTTTTTGTGTGTGTGTAGAGCCCCACTTATACTCAGTTCTGTTAAAAAAAATATGCATTGAAAAATTTTCCAGAATTCATAGACTGGAATGAGGGTTCTATCTGTGGTGTATTTACTTTCAAATGATGGCCTTAGGCTGTGCAATGGCTGCCCAGACAGACCTTTGGAGGTCTCCTGCTTTGATAGTTGTTAAAATAGAAATGTTAAAATTTCACCGATTCAGAATTCTTATGTAACCAGTCAAATAGTAAAGTAAAATAGAACTTTTGGAAATGTGCAGCAATAATACTAATAAAAGCATACCTGGGGCCAGGCACGGTGGCTCACGACTGTAATCCCAGCACTTTGGGAGGCCGAGAAGGGTGGATCACCTGAGGTCAGCAGTTTGAGACCAGCCTGACCAATATGGTGAAACCCCGCCTCTACTAAAACTACAAAAAAATTAGCCGGGTGTGGTGACAAGCGCCTGTAATCCAGCTACTCAGGAGGCTGAAGCAGGCAAATCGCTTGAACCCGGGAGGAGGAATTGCAGTGAACCGAGATCGTGCCACTGCACTCCAGCCTGGGCAACAAGAGCGAAACTCCGTCTCAAAACATAAAAGAGTATAACTGGATGAAGACAGTGATTGAAACCTATCCAGTGTCCCATCCCATGATCCATGATGTCTGTGATAAAGATTCCCCAAGTAGTCATTTTTTTTTTTTGACATGAAGTCTCACTCTGTTGCGCAGGCTGGGGTGCAGTGGTGTGATCTCAGCTCACTGCAACCTCCGCCTCCTGGGTTCAAGTGATTCTCCTGTCTCGGGCTCCTGAGTAGCTAGAATTACAGGTGTGCACCACCATGCCTGGCTAATTTTGTATTTTTAGTAGAGACAGGGTTTCACCATGTTGGTCAGGCTGGTCTCAAACTCCTGACCTCAGGAGATCTGCCCCCTATTGGCCTCCCAAAGTGCTGGGATTACAGGCTTGAGACGTCGCCGCACCTAAGCCCCAAGTAGTCTTTGACAGACATCTGCTTCTTCCATTTTAAGACATTCCGGGATTAATAGAAAAAGCAGAAGAAAATGAATATATCTCAGAATGAATATGTCTCAGAAATGCCACATAATTTCAATAATATGTCACAGAGCCAAGACATTTTCATTGAATAAAACAAGAGTCTGAATATACTCCATTTATCTTAGAATTTATATCTGGCATGTATTGTTTATTTAACAGTTGTTTGTACTGAGATTTTATTGAAAGACTTTACTAATTGAAAGTTGTTATTACTAAGATTTTTACAATTTTTCACTTTTTATTTTTTATTTATTTATTTTTTTATTATTTTTATGGATACATAACAGTTGTATATATTTATGGGGCACATGTGGTATTTTGATACAAGTGTACAATATGTAATGATCAAATCTGGGTAATTGAGATATTCACTGCCTCAAACATTTATCATTTCTTTGTGTTGTGGACATTCTAAATATACTCCTCTAGTTATTTTGAAATACAAAAAAAGATTGTTAATTATTGTTGCCCTATTGTGATAATGAAAACTAGATCTTATTTCTTTTATCTAACTGTATTTTTGTACCCATTAGTAGTAACTGAGATTTACATTCAAAAATTGAAAAGTAAAAATGTAAGTCAGGAAGGGATTTCTAGTCCAGGATTCTGTTTTCTATAGCTCTCCTAAGCACTTTTTTGCCCAGTGCTGCAGAACTACTAGGTGTGTTCGATGTCTATTTCTGCTGAAACAAATTACTCCAAACTTGGCAATTTGAGATAACATATTTTTTTAATCTCATAGTTCTGTTGGTTAGAAATCCAGTGGGATTGACTGGTTTGTCTGCTCTAAATATCACAAGGCTAAAATCAAATTGGCAGGGAGAGCCAATTTCCATTTTAAACGCTGTTCCAGGGACATACAGGTTATTTGCAGAATTCAGTTCCATGTGGTTGCAGGACTGAGATTCCTTGTTGGCTGTCAGCTCAGATATATCTTTAGGTCCTAGACGTCTTTCTCCAGTCCTTGAAAGTCATTCTTTCAAGTGGCACAATCTCAGCTCACTTCAACCTTCACCTACCGGGTTCATGTGCAGTGACGTGATAGTAGCTTCACCAGCAGTTGCAAGTTCCTGGGCTCAAGGCATCCTCTTCCCTTAGCCTCCCAGGCAGCTGAGATTACAGGTGAACACTGTGGCAGCTGAATGGGATCCTTCTGGAGCCTCATCTTTCCTGATTTATCTTCTGCTGCATCTCTTTCTCACTGACATTTTTGCCTTCTTCTTCCACTTTTAAGGGTCCACATGATTACATTGTACTCGCCTAGATAATCTCTCTACTTTAAGATCAGCTGATTGATTATTAATCTTAATTCCATGTGCAAAGTCCCTTTTGCCATGTAACATAGTCATAGGTTCCAGGGATCAGGGCATGGACATCTTTGGGTGGTCATTATTTTGCCTACCACAGGAAGTGCTGTAGACTATGCCTTGTAAGAGAATTAGTCCATCCTTGAAAAACATGTTTTCATTGCCCAATTTTTGTTTTGTTTGATTTCATTTTAATGAATATCTCTATTGTTCTCATATACACGTATTTAGAAATCCTAAATTAGACAAAAAAGTTTTGGAATCACTTGCATTTATCTAAGAATTTTCTAGATGTAATTCCTCCAATCATCTTCTCAGGTAACCTAGTAGGAGATTATGTGATTTTTCCCTAAGATCATTAGCAAAAGAATAACACATTTTTTTGCTAAAGAAAATGAAGCCCCGATGCAGTGAAACGGCAGTCAGAACACAATCAAATTAGCTCCTGAGCAACTACCTTTATCATCATCTCTGTCAAATCAACAGCATCATATGTACAAAGCCAGTGCCAGTTGAACTTTTTTCAAACTGGTAGTTTTGCAATCCTCTAGAGGAGAAAAAGAATTTATAACAAAATTTATTTTAGCATTTGGTGAAAGTATATTTCAGGAGGCTTTTGTGAATAGTTCAAAATCAAGAAAAAGCCGATCTTATGCAGAAAGCAGGAAGTTCAGCCAATACAAGATGAATAATGAATAATAATAATAATAATAGTAATCATATGGCAAATAATTGCTAAAGAGAACACACTCATTTGATAAGTTAGACAAAGTACTCAGTCAAGAAGCAGAATAGAGTTATATATTGATTTAGTAACATTGTATTATATACTTGAAACAGTCTATGGGAGTAGATTTTAGGTGTTTTAATTGCAATGGGGTAAAAAAAAGAAGGAAACTGTGAGATGTGCATGTTAAATTGCTTACCTATAACAGTCATTTAATTATGTATATATATATATATATATATATATATACACATCATGGATATATATATATATATATACACACATATATATCAAAACATGCTGTTGTACATTTTAAATTTATACAATAAAGAAGAAAATAAATAAAAGTTGATCCTAAGATTGTCTGTAAATCAAAATAAGAAGAAAGAAGCAGCAGAATTGAGTGTGTGGAACATTACATTGGATATGGGAAAAAGACAGGCTAAAAGGGGCAAGGAATACTTTCTTAGCCAGTAACAAATTGCTCAAGTAGTTGTGTATTTAATGACACAGAAGACCAAAGTCACTGAAAATAACAAAGCATAAGCCTTTTAGAAAATAATAATGGCATATACAACAATGGCATTCCCTTAAGATGCAGGTGTTGTCATTTCAGTACAAGAAGCTGAGGTGGATGATATTTGAGATTCTGGGAAACTGAGCAGTATATTAATCAGACAGAATATTTTATTTTATTTATTTTGCCAGTTCTTTTAACTTTGATTAGAAAGTACCTGTGAGGCTGGGCGCGGTGGCTCACGCCTGCAATCCCAGCACTTTGGGAGGCCGAGGTGGGTGGATCACTTGAGGTCGGGAGTTCGAGACCAGCCTGGCCAACATGGTGAAACCCTGTTTCTACTAAAAATACAGAAAATTAGCTGGCCATGGTGGCACACGCCTGTAATCCCAGCTACTCGGAAGACTGAGGCAGGAGAATTGCTTGAACCAGGGAGGTGGAGGTTGCAGTGAGCCGAGATCATGCCACTGCACTCCAGCCTGGGCAGCAGAGCGAGGTTCTGTTTCAAAAAAGAAAGAAAGAAAATACCTGTGAAACACCAGCATCAAATGAAGGCTGCTTATCTATCCAGTTTTGTGGCTGGAGTGGACCTTTCTGTTCATGAAATCCAGATGGAACATTTTATAAAACACATAGAAAAGAAGCTGCTTCTTGAGCTGTTTCAAGGGAGACAACACTGCTGACAAATGCATTTTTGTTATTAGAGATATTTTAGATTTGGGAGCCTGAGAACAACATTATACTTCCAAGCAAATAAAGATCATAAAGCAACTTCATGATTACAACATCTATGTTGTCAAAAGTGAACTTTTTGTTATAATTTTCGAAAACTTAACTGAGAACTGAGATTAAAAAGAAAATGACTTAGGCAGTGGGCCCCCATAGAAAGTGCAACAGACTGAGAGCTGAGCAATGCTATTAACTCTGTCCCTATATTTTCTTTTGTTTCTGGGTGTGTTTGTTTGTGTATATGTAGATAGTTATTTTTATCTTTAACTGACGCTATCTGGCGAAAACACTGAGTTACAAATTTATTTAGTTCAGCTCCTTTCTCGCCTCTCTCCTTTAGAGTAGTTCTGTCATGCGTTCAAAATACAGTTAGATTCATTCGAAACAGTCTGTATTTCGTCTTGGGCTCCACAGACATCTGGGTTGACTTTATTCATTTGCATACAACACTATTCACTCTTTGTGGTGTACAGTTCTATGGGTTTGAACAAATGCATTGAGTCATGTATCCACTGCCACATAATCACGCAGAACCAATTCCATTAACCCACATTTCCTTGTGATTCCCTAGTGCTCATGCCAACTGGAATCCATGAAAATCTCTGATCTCATTTCTGTTCTTAGATGTTTGCTTTTTCAAGTTGTCATATAAATGATATTATACAATATACAGTCTTTTGGATCAATTTACTTGGTTAAACACCAAGAAATATGATTACTGTATCATATAGTAAGTACATGTTTTGTTTTATAAAGAAATTGTCAAACCATTTCCCAAAGTGACTGTGCAATGTTGCATTTGCACCACAGTATTTGAGAGTTTCAGATGTTCCATGTTCACACTGGCAGTTGGTATTGTCAGTCTTTTGTTTTTTTTAAATTTTAGTCAAACAGGTTCATAGTGATATCTCGTTGTACTATTAATTTGCAAATTTCTAATGACTGATTGTGTTGATCGTTATTTCATGTGCTCATTAGCCAAATGTATATCTTTGATAGAGTGCTTATTTAAATCTTTGGCCTATTTTTTATTGGGTTATCAGTGCATTTGTCTATCATCTATCTATCACCTACCTGTATATTTATTTAACTTGACAGACAAAATTGTATTTATTTGTACAACAAGATGTTTTAAAGTAATATACATTGTGAAAAGGTTAGATCCAGCTAAGTAACATATATGCATCACCTCACATAGTTCTAGTGAGAACACAATATTTACTCTTAGCATTTTTCAAGAATACAATATATCATTAACTATAGTCATTATGCTATATAACAGATCTCTTAAACTTATTTCTCCTAAATGAAAATGGAAACACAACATACCCAAACTTATGAGATACAGCAAAAGCAGTTCTAAGACGGAAGTTCATAGCAATAAACACCTATAAATAAAAATAAAGATCTCAAATAAACCACACCTGAAATAACTAGAAAAACAAAAACTCAGCCCCAAATCCTTAGAAGGGTGTTATCTGGTTGTTTTCTTATGATTAAATTTTTAAAGATTTAAATATACTCTGGATAAACATTATTATGAGATATGTTAACTGCATATATGTTCTTTGAGTCTGTTGCTTATTTTTTCAGACTTTTAAAAAGGTGTTTCACATAACAATTTAGGATAATATAAAAAGTCAAATCTATCAAATTTTGAAAACTTAAGACTTAAGCCTGGTGTCATATTGTTATAGGATTCTTGGGGTGTCACTTTTCTGGCCTGAAACCTCTGCCCAGTGATGCCTTTGCCCAAGTTTTCTTGGGCCCACTGGGCTCTTTCTGCCCACTTGGCCTGGCAGGCTGTGCTCAGCTCATGCTACCAGCCTGGATCCCATGCCTGCCAAGGGCGAGTCAGGTGTGGAATGGTGAGGGATGTGTGAGCGAGTGTGGGGTCTGGCCACTGTGCAGCCAGACACACTGGCTGCTGCAGCAGGGCAGGCAGCTCCAGGTGCCAGCATAGGCACCAGCTCTCTGCAGGGCTGCAGCTGGACCAGGCACACTGCAAGCAGCCTCCCCAGCTGTCACTGGGAAACACAATGGCACCCAGAAGCTCGGACATGACAGGCACCACAGGACCCCAAAGAAAGAGCCACAGCCCCGGCTCTTGGAGCTTTCTGGTCTCAGCTCCCTGAGGGGAGGCAACTTTTCTCTGCTTCTCTTCACCCACAACATGGTGAGCAAGGGGTTTGTTTCAGCCCTGTTTGTGTTATACCTCTTTTAACTCCACCATTCAGCAGGTCCTGAGTCGTTGTCCTGCAACCAGGAAGAATGAAGTATGCAGACAGGTGGAAGGTGAACAAAATGAAGAGGAGCTTTATTGAACAATAGGACAGCTCAAATGAAACCCATAGCGGGTAGCTCCTTTCCACAGTCAGCATGTCCCAACAAATGTTCAGCTCCTAACAGAGAGGAGACCCTGGAGTGGAAAGGTCCTCTCTGCAGGCAGGTCATCCTGTCCTCTCTGTAGCTCTCAGCAGAGAAGGGGTTTTGGAGAGGGTAGCTCCTCCCTGTAGGCAGGTCCTTCATCATCTCCTCAGCTCCTAGCAGAGAGGAGGCCCTGGATTGGGTTGTTTCTCTCTGCAGCTGCTTGTTCGTGTCTCCTGCTATATGCAGAGAGCATAGCTTCTCTCTGCAGCTGGTTATCCAGTGATCTGCTCAGCTCTGGCTGAGTCCAGGGCTTTTATGGGCCTCAGAGAGGAGAAAGTGCACACCGATTGGTCCATGTGTGACCATGGGCCGGCTGGAAGGGGCACTGCAAGTTCCCAATCCAGTCTATGGGACTGATAGCCTGGCTCCCAGCCTTCACACACTTCCTGGCCTGAAGGTGGGGCCTCACAGTGGGCCCTCCCTCTTCTGCCCAGGAATCTGTCTGCCTTCTGCTACCATTCATGGCACCTGGACTCAGCCTGACTGCTCTGAGATTGGAGCAGCCCTGACAGCAGGGAAAAGCCAGGCAGCTGGAACAGGTACTTCCCAGCTTGCAAGGGCAGGGTTGGTGGAGCTTTCTGGGCCCTCAAGAGTGTAGGGATGCCTGAGTCTGCAGCTGCAGTTTAAACAAAGGTAGGAGTGGGAATGGTGGGGGACAGAGTGGGGTCCCTGCCTGCTCTGTGGAGCAGGAGACCTGGGTCTGGAGCATGAGGCCTAGGTCCAGAGCAGGAGGCCCGCATCAGCAGCCACGGTTTCAGTGGCTGCCACTGTGTCCAAGAGCGCAGGGTTCCTGCCTGTCCCTGGCCCCCACAAGAGCACAGAGAGGATAGATCTGTAGCCACAGCTTGGGTGCAACTTGGGCCTAGTCTACCTGCTGCAGTCAGCATGATGACACTGGCAGGCCCTCTGAAGTGGCCACTGCCATCAATATCTAAAACCTGTCAAACTTGAGGTTATGTAAATTTTCTCTTATGTTTTCTTCTAAAGTTATATAATCTTTTATTTTATGCAGGTCTATGATATTTTTGAGTTAATTTTTGTACAAGTTGTGAGACTTAAGACACTTTTGTTTACTGTGACTTTATAATGTCTTCAATTTCAGTAGTACCAAATCCTCCAATTTTTTATAGTTGTTTGTCTATTCTAGTGCCTTTGCATTTCCATATAAATTTTTAATCATTTTGTCAACACCGAGAAAAACATTTTCATAGATTTTGATTGGCATTATACCAAATCTATATGGTGAATTAGATATAATTGACAGCTTAAAAATATTGAGCCTTACAATCCATGATCATGCTATATCTCTCCATTTTATAGGTTTTCTTTTATTTCCTTCATCATTGTTTCCTTGATTCCAGCATATAGGTCTAGCATACATTTTTTTTTTTTTACAAAAAATTATATGTAAGTTTTTGTTGGCTTGTTTGTTTTGTTTTTTTGAGACGGAGTCTCGCTCTGCCGCCTAGGCTGGAGTGCGGTGGTGCGATCTCAGCTCACTGCAAGCTCTTTCACTCCATTCTCCTGCCTCAGAATGGGACTACAGGCGCCCACCACCACACCTGGCTAATTTTTTGTATTTTTAGTAGAGACGGGGTTTCACCGTGTTAGTCAGGATGGTCTCGATCTCCTGACCTTGTGATCTGCCCGCCTTGGCCTCCTAAAGTGCTGGGATTACAAGCGTGAGCCACCGCACCCAGTTAAGTATTTTTTTGTGGCTGCTATAGTGTTTCTTGTTTGCTTGTTTGCTTTAATTTCAAACTCCAACTGTACATTGCTGATGTATAGAAATATGAGTAATTTTTCTGTATTGATTCTTAATACAGAAATTAACTCTATTGCAGATTGGGCATATTAGTTCTGTCTATTTGGGGTAGATAATTTGAATTTTCTGTATGGACAGCAATTTTCTTTCTCTATTCAGTATGCTTTCTATTTTTGTTTCTTGCCTTATGACCTTTAGTAGGACTTGAAAAACAAGGGTGACTATGAGTGGTGAGAGCAATGTTGACTGTGATTGGTGAGAGCAGACATTTTTGCCTTTATACTGACTTTAGTAATAAATTATTCAGTTTATCAGAATTAAGAATGCTGTAAGTTGGACATTTTCAATGTTATGTTGTTTTATAGATCCCTTATATTAAGCTAAGGAAGTTCCATTCTAGTATTCTAGTCCCAGTTTGTTGTAGGTATCATTAACTGACATTATATTTTATCAATTTCTTTTCTGTATCTATGAAATATTCATGTTTTCTAATTAATTTGTTAATATCGTGAATTATATTGTTTGCTTTTCAAATATTCAGTCAACTCTTCATTCTTGGGATAAAATCGAATTTGTTGTGATGTTTAATCCATTTTATATTTTGAAGGATTAAATTTGTTCAGGATTTTTGTTCAAGATGATAGTTTGTAGTTTTTTTCTTATTTTGATATTAGAGTATTGCTGACCTCAGACAGTGAGCTGGGAAATGTTCCCTCTCCATTTTTTTGAAATTTTTTTTTACAATTGATATTCTTTCTTTTCTAAATATTTAGTAGAATTCATCACTGAAACCATTCATGCCTGGAGTTTTCTATCTATGCAAAATATTCAACTACACACTATTTAATAAATGTAGAACTCCTAAAGTTATCTAATTATATTTGTGTGAATTTTAGCAGTCTTTGTTTCTGAAAGAATTGATTCATTTCTATAAATTTCTGAATTTATGAGCATGTAATTGTTGCAGGTTCTCTTAAGTTCCTTTTAGATTCTATTGGGATCACTTATGATGTGCCATCTTTGATTTCTAATATTAGTAAATCCCATTTTCCTTCATTCTGCCTGATTTGACTTTTATTTTATATTCTTCCCCTTGCTTAAATTGGAAAATTAATTCATGATATGAAATCATCTTTCTGTTCTAAAAGAGTATTTTATGCTATACATTTTCTCCTAAGCACTGTTTTGGCTCCAACTCACATATTTTAATATATTGTATTTTTAAAATCCAGTTCAAAATGATTTCAAATTTTCCCCAAACTTCCTATAACCCATGGGTTATTGAGAAATATGTTGCTTAATTTCTAAATATTTGGGAATTTTAAAATGTATTATTATGTCAGTGCTTTCCACTTTAATTTATTATAATTGTGTAAGGATACATATAACCAGTAAGGATACACATATTCTGAACTACATTATCAACCAAATTGACCTAATTGACGTTTATAAAATGTGTCAGTGAAGAACATGCAGATATACACTTTTCAAAAAGTTCATAATATAAATTTTAAAGTTTATAGTTCATAATATAAGTTATGACCCACAACAGGCTCTCTCTTGTTAAATATTTTTGAAAAGAATGTGTATCTGGATGTTCTTTATAACTCAGCAGATATAATTTATTAATTATATCTTGATAAATTAAGTTTAAAAGAAATGTTTTAGGCAGAAGAAACATAATTTTAATCAGAAATTTTACATGAAGAGTGTAAAGAATTGGAAATGAAAATAAATGGAAGTAAAATGAAGTTCTTTTGTTTGTTTTAGAAGGCATTTATCCAACTTTTTGAAAGATATTTTTACTATATATAGAATTCTGGGTTTACTTTTTCTTCTTTCAATACTTAAGTGTTACTTTATTTCATTCCTGGTTACCTGTTTTTTGTTTGTTGTTTTGTTTTTAATGGGAGTGAGCTGAAATTCTCATTTTTGTTTCTGTACAGGTAATATGTGCTTATTATCTGACTTCTCTCAATATGTTGTATTTGACTCAATTTCTAACATCTTGAATATAACATATATCTGTGTTTATTTTTCTACTTAGTGCTCTCTGAGCTTCTTGGGTCTGTGGTTCGGTGTCTGCCATTAATTTTGCAAAATTCTTCAACATTATTTCTTTATATATTTTATCTACTTCATTTTCCCTTTCTTCTCCTTCTTGAATTTCAATTATGCGAATGTAAAACTGGTATTTTCACACAGCTCCTGGAGACTATATTTTGTTGTTGTTGTTTTCTGTTTTGTTTCTTTTCCTTTATGGTCTTATTTTTTTATGTTCATTTGGGTGATTTTACCAATCATTTCTTCAGGCATGACAAATCTACCAATGAATGTGCTGAAGGCATTATTCTTCACTGTTATTCATATATTTTTCATGTTACCATGTTTTTAATATTTAGTATTTCCATTTGAATTTTTTCTTACTGTGTCCCTCAGTCTGCTGAAATGATGTATCTGATCTTACATGTTGTCTCTCTTTTTCATTAGAACCTTTAACATAGTAATCATATTCTTAAGAATACTTGCCTGGGCATATCTAAGTCTGCTTTGATGATTGTTTTCTCTCTTTTGCCTTGTTGTTTGCCTTATAATTTTTTGTTAAAAACTGACATCTTATGAAGGAGAGTAGTTACTGAAAGTAAGAATGTTTTATTCTTAGAGAAATTTGTACTAGGCCAGCAAGGTGTTGGTTTATGTAATCCTATTAGGGATTAGGCTGGATTTGAAGTTGGTTGGAATGGTCATACTTAGTCACACCCATTAAGGTGTCACACACAGGCTTCAAAGTCCTTTGATCAGGTAGACTGCCAGAGTATTGTTTTTGTCAATGGCTCTTTCCCCATGTTGGTTTGGGTCTTTCTTTTGCATTACACTACATTGCATTACATTATATTGCATTTCTTGCATTACAAGAAAAAATATCTCTTGCAGACCTCCCAGCTGTATTCCACTGTTGTTTTCTAAAGGCTTGTAATCACGTGGGTGAGAAGGAGGGACGCTGAGATTAAGCCACAGTTTTAGGATGGTACTGTGTCCCTGGGCCTCAGTAGTATGCCCTTTGCAACTTCTCTTGCATTTCCTCAAATACTAGAGGTTGGAATGGCATGCACCCTGATCATCCTCAGAGGTAATGCTTTTTCACCCTGTGGTTGTCCCAGCTGCAGTGGTTTTCTACCAGTGCCCTAAAGTGGTAAGTTTTTTTGTCCTTCCCCGGAGATCAAGGCTGTTATCTGTAGGAAAGATGGAACGGTCTGGCTGGAGTTGTAGCAATGGCATCTGACAACCACTCCTATCCTCCCAATGTGACAGAGCTTCAGCATTTTCTAAGGGTTCTCTGTGATTTTCTTTATGAATGTTGTGTGTGGCATTTGTGGAGGCAAAGCCTACAAGAGTGTGAGCCTCTTTACACATGTTCCCAGAGGTTTCACTCTCATACACTTGCATTCAATATTTAACAGTTAATTGAAAACCTTTAGATGTATCTTTGTATAGGCTTCTATGGAGTCTTATGGCATGTGTTCCAGAAGCAATTTTGCAGTCAGAATCTTTCTGCCTGCAAATGCCTGTCTCTCCCTGGAGTTTTGGTTATTTGGTTGCTCTGGGATTTTAGTTATTTGATGGCTTAAAAAAGAATTAATTTTCAGATTGCCTAGCTTTTTCCTGCTTGTAAAGACTGGAATAATGTGCTTTATCACCCAAAACGAAAGTCCTCTGCCTCTGCTTTTGTGACCTTGTTCATACACTTAAAACCTCCCGGCTAAGGCATCAAGGCCTTTCCTTACGAAGGGCTTAGTCACTAGATGACCTCTAAGGGACTATCCAACACTAAAATTTGGGGATAAAGAACATTTACAAAAATCTACTTCAGAAAGTTTGGAAAGCCCTTCACTCCCATTTCTATGAAATGTGCAATTTCATAAAAAATCAGAATTCTTTATTTACTCTGTAATTATTTGTTTTTAATAATAACATTTTTTCTTCCATCATGAGACAAAAATGTGTGGTGTCAAAGAATACATTTCTATTTGATGTACATCCACATCCACATGCAAACATATACATGCATACTCATTGGAATCAGGAATTTAGATCATATTCCAAGAGGGAACACATGCTGGGGCCATCTGTCTTCTGTAAAATGTAATGTAAGAAAATGGGTGCAGTCATATTTACTGAATAAAAAGTGTTCTGGCACTTAATCAGGATGCATAATGTAAATAGAACATTTGTGGAATATTAAATAAAGTTGCTCTTTATTATCTTGAATTTCCAGAAGGACTTATACTTTGTTAATTTCTTAGTCACTTATTTCCATCTATTGCAGAAAGGACCAAATAGATTACATTAGTACTGCAACTATATTAAGGCCTTACAACTTATTGCATCTTTTAAGTAACTGAAAACATATTTAGCAAGAAAATATTTCCAACATATCACTCACTCAGTCAGCCTTCAAATATATACATCATATCAGATAATCTTTTATTAAGTAGCAAAATTTTCTTGCAAAAAGAACAAAATTGAAAATATAAAATTTAATGTGCATAGTATACATTTTTATATTTAATAAAATTTTAGGTTTTATTGTTCTATATACTAATTTTACGAATGAATAAAGTATGACACACATGCTGACATTTGTGAGTAATTTTTCTTTACAAATTTTATAGTTGCATAAAATAATCTGTTTTATCCCCATGTGTTCATAAACTCTTACACCGTTTATAGTTTAAATGATAAAGCAACATATAAAGGAGGGTGAGAAATACATAATGAAGCTTCTGAAGTAAATCAGTTTAAGGGTCTACTTCCCACTACTTATTATTCATTAATTTGTCCAACTTGGATATTTTACTTTTGAAAGTAATATGTTAAGTCAAATTGAAGACTATTTTGACATTAGAAAGTTTGAGTGCCATGTAAAGTTGTTCTGTTTCTAACTTGAATCATATATACATAAATACATATTATATATAACAATTTTATTTAACTTAATTTTTATTTTTAGTTTGTAAATAGGTGTATTTGTGGAACTATTGTGGAACTATTCTGTTGTAGGTAGATAACCGTTTCTTTAAAAGCTAACTAATAACATTAGAATAAGTGTGAAGAATATTAAAATTCTTTTATGAAAACTTGAAACTGATGCTTGTAATAAGTTGCTTTAACTGGCTAAGTTAATTTCCACTTTTATTTTTTATAATGTGTTTTACCAGATTGATGGGAAATACTAACTTTTTTTTTTTTTTTTTGAGACAGAGTCTTGCTCTGTCGCCCAGGCTGGAGTGTAGTGGCACCATCTCGACTCACTACAACCTCCGCCTCCCGTGTTCAAGTGATTCTCCTGCCTCTGCCTCCTGAGTAGCTGGGATTACAGGCACCCACCATCATGCCTGGCTAATTTGTGTATTTTTGTAGAGATGCAGTTTCAACATGTTGGTCAGGCTGGTCTTGAAATCCTGACCTCAGGTGATCTGCCCACCTCGGCCTCCCAAAGTGCCGGGATTACAGGTGCGAGCCACCACGCCTGGCTGGGAAATACTAACTTTTAAATCTCACAATTCTCATCTGATAAATAAACTCATGCTATCATTACCCATCCATAATTTTATAATAAATACAACGTTTAAATTATATACACTTTTCTCTGTATCAGTTGTGAAGTAAGTTTCGCTAGGGTGCAGTTAACAAAAATACCTCCTCGTCTCTCCTACAGGTATTCTCATCTTTGTCATCAGTAAGAAAATTCCTCTATGTGGGTTAGTGGCAAACTTTTTAGTATAAAACTCCTTTGAGATGAGGGTGCCAAGGAAATATAAGCAGGAGCCCTTTGATGAGGTTTTAGAAAAAGCACTGTAATTTCTTGTAATTTAGTTGAGGGGGCATCACTTTACTGCTCTTGTCCCATTCTCATTCTAGCTCCCTCAAACAAGACTGGACAAGGCTATAGCAGCCGTGTTGAGATCATAATATATAAGGCTCAGAAAAGCACAGAGACTTGGTCCTAATATCCTGAACCACTGAAAAAATGACAGAAACTGCCCACTGTGAACTTGATATGGTTTGGCTCTGCGCCCCCACCCAATTTTCATGTCAAATTGTAATTCCCAATGTTGGGGCAGGGACCTGGTAGGACATGATTAGATCATGATGGCAGATGTCCCCCTTGCTGTTCTCATGATAGTGAGTTCTCACAATATCTGGTTGTTTAAAAGTGTGTAGCACCTTCCACTTTGCTCTCTCTCCCCTGCTTCATCATGTAAAGATGTGCCTGCTTCCCCTTCGCCTTCCGCCATGATTGTAAGTCTCCTGAGGCTGCTCCAGCCATGCTTCCTGGGCAGCCTGTGAAAGAGTGAGTCAATTAAACCTCTTTTTTTCCATAAATTACCCAGACTCAGGTATGTCTTTATAGCAGTGTGAGAATGGACTAATACAGGGCTTCTTGTTATAGGAGAAAAATAAACCTTTTAATGTGTAGGCTATTGCAATTAGGTTTTTGAAACTAGCAGTCAACTACAGTTTTTTATGTAAATGTGTGATGATCCAAATATGAATGAAAATAATACACTTCCTCTAGGCAATATCTGACATTAGATAATGAACAATTCCTATCACCCAAGTCAAATCTTGAAAGCTACTTGTTTATGTTATTTATTAACTTTGTTTCTGTTGCCTACATGTCACATGCAATGCCATTATATCTTTAGTATATTTGTTGCTTATGTTTTCCCCATATTTTATTTCAGAAAAAAAAATCATATAAAATCTTTCGTGAATTTACTCATGATAAACTGTGTTTCATGCCTCAGAACAAATAAAACTGTTTCTTCCTAGATCAATTTTCTATTATTGGCTTTTGTATATCATACACAGGTGTGCTATTTGGAAGGCACTAGAGGAATTCAGCATGTGTTATATTGTAGTAACGGTGTGAATGTCTTCATTAAAAGGTTGCCGTTGCTAATAGAGATGGATGAGTTGGAGGAAAAGCTTACTTTATTTTAATCTATCAACTGGTCCTATATTTAATGGCAACTTTAGGAGCAACACTTATTTGTAAAGCCAAATGGAATTGTTGACGGTGATAATTTCCTTGATGAGTGAGAAAATGCTTTGTGTGTGTGTGTGTGTGTGTGTGTGTGTGTGTGTTTTAAATAAGATAATTTGGCACATTCTACCAACCACTGATTAATATAATATCCCACAAAGAGTCATGGTTGGGAGATTTTTCTGTCTTTTATTTATAATTTCTCTTGGGAGTAAGTTACGTAACATTTGTTAATGATTACCTCAGATCACAGTAAGATTAAAAGAAATTATAGGCTTATTTCTCTTTTTCTTCCATAGACAGGCTGGGCTACTTTCTTTCAAAATGTCTATAGTCATTGATGAAAACTCTTAACATTAAATCTCAAAATGCTTTTTGAGAATTTACACTTGTTTGAGATACTCTATATCTTGTGTAAAATAAAAATTACATGGATTTGTTTCAGCCTCAATACACATTATAGAAGAAATATTGTAACAGGGGTTGATTATCTTGAAGCAGAAACATAAAGAGCCATAGATTTAGTTTGAATTCTGATTACCACATATGAAATTTTGAGCATAATACTTAAATATTTATAATATACAAAATACATTTTAAAGTGGCTCTTAGGACTTACTTGGTGCTCAAATGCAGATTAGGGTGTCTTCAATCCTAGCTTTAAATTCTGGCTCTATTTCTCAATAATCTGTAGGGCATGGACAAGACTGTTTTCTCATGAGTAAAATTCAGCTCTAAAGGGTATTAACTATTGTTCTATAGAGTTATTGTTAGTTTTAGATTAAATAATAGATTTAAGGAACTTAGTACTATAGATACCACTTATTAAAATCCAATCTATGCAAATTATATTTATCAATAAACAATATTTTATAACTACAAACTACTTGATACTTTAAATAAGTGCTTTAAGTGTACTATTTGTGTTAAACTTATACGTCTATTAAGTAGAAAATAAATACTTTTATTATCCTCATATTTAGAGAGAAGGAAACTGGAGAACATTAGCTGCAGTATCAGGTTAATGACACAGTGTCAAATGATCCGATTCTAGTATTACAGGCTCTTGATCCTCTTAAAATTACCTTCACAATCTTGCCTTAATGGTCTTAATGGGAATGCTCTTCTCATCCATCTTCTGAATGTCATAAAATTCCAGGACTCAAAAAGCCATACAGTATTGTCTTATTTAAAAAATAAATGACCAAAATCTCATTATTTATTGTGGTTCCCTACTTCCAGCTTATTCATACTCCAAACTCTACCCCCAACATAGCTTCTACAAGGTCTGTGGGCACAAAAATTTCTGGTACTCTCCGTGACGTTCTAGTTCTTTCAATCTTGGAATACATTTTAAAAATAAGGAACAACAAAGTGAAACAAAACACTTTTCTACTTACAATGATATATTTGGTATTAGATTTTCCTCATTTGTGAAAGTTGGGCAATTAGACGAAAGAGGGAGGACAAATGAGCTGTTTGCTGTTTTATTAAGCCTATTGTATAGCTATCACTTGACTATATATAAAAGAATGTATAAAATGGATTCACATTTGGTATGTCAGACATCACTTCAAAAATCCATATGGCCATATAATATTTATATAATGCATCAATATGTTTTCTAATCACATTAGCTATAAAGTTACATATAAAAGTGATTCAATCTTTGTGTAAAAATTTAAAACAAATCAGAAAAAGTAGAACAATCTAGCAGAAAATGATAGATGTTGCTTTTATATATTTACCTCTTCTTCTTAAATTTGTAATTAAAATTTATAGGTATCTATGTGGACTCTTTGAGAAATGTTTTAATATAGAGATAGCTATTTCTCCAACTATTAAAACAACAGTCATGTGAAAAATATAAGGAAATTATCTTATTGATAGGACTGAGTGAAATCAGTATGAAATGTTGCCAATGGAATGCAATGCAAAATTTTTAATTAAATTTTATTATTCAAAAATTTGTTTTAAGGGATATCTAGATACATTGAGCTCCTGTGTATCAGGAACTAAAAAAAAAATTTGGCAGGTGAAGAATAAGTCCTGGAGCCAACCCTTGGTATGAATTTCTTAACTACATACCTAATCAGAATATTTCAGAGCTGGAAGAATCTTCAATGGTAATCTTCTCCATAATGTAATACAGAATACTGAACCCCAGAAATGATAAATGATTTGTACAAAGTCATACACTCGAAACAGAATAGGTTGTCTGAAACTCTGTTGTGTGTTGATAATTGCGATTTGAATGTACGTGGACTCACAGGACTTAAGAAAGCTTCTGCCTTCTTAAGTCAATTGCTTACAGTTATAGAAAGAAATAATATGGCTAAATAGTACATTTCTTTTCATCTCCCAGTATAATATGTTTCTTAGACTATTTTCAAGGTAATTTAACCTAATGGCCACCACCACTAATGTCAATAACTTTTAGCAAAACTTTATATAAACCTTGATTCAAACTTTTATAAGGCTACAAAGTCTGTTTTTTTTGAAACCATTTTCTTCATTTTTTAATTTTTGAACCACTTTTTAATTAATTTAATATTGAATCTTTCATTACTTAGCAACATCCTTCAAACTAAATAAAAGCAAAGGGAAAAAAAGAAGCAAAGTAAAAGCTTTCAAATAAAAAGAAAGCATTTTTAACATAACAAGTTCTAAATTCAAAGAATTGTGTGTTATTCTTTAGGTAAGTTCTTAAAGTACCTCTTTAAACAACACTGATTATTACCACACCTAGAGGCTCAGTTTTCAAAAATAAAATATCACAATGAAAACTTCTGGAAGGAACTTCATAAGGGAGTCCGTCTACCTAACCTAAAAACAGATCTTGGGAAACAAAATTAGAAGGTGTGAAAAACATTTTGAACTCTATTTCTTACACCAAAATGCCAAATAGTGGCACTACAAGTGGAAAAAGAACACCAGCTATATTTAATATCTTTCATATTAAAAAAAAAGTTGGGCATGGAAATAAAGCAATTACAGATAATTGTAACTTTCTAAACTACATAGTTTGACCCAAATTTTCCAATCTCTATTCTAGAATTTCTTTTAAAAATTAATATAGAGGCTGAGAGAAGTTATTCAGCCAATCCACCTACAAGTTAAGTATAAGTTGAAAAGCAAAAGTATCAAGTATTATTCTACATTTTTCCAAATATGGACAAAACCTACTCTAGCATCTCTCAGATTTACACTTCTATGTTTTCCCATGTTTCTTTTACAGTTTGAGAAAAGGGGGTCAAGAACACTGATATCCATGAAGCAGCATCATTTTTTTTCTGTATGTGTGTATGTGTGTTATTAGCAGTCACTCTGCTAATAAAGACATACCAGAGACTGGGTAATTTATAAAGGAATGTTTAATTGACTCACAGTTCTACATGGCTGGGGAGGTGTCACCACCATGGAAGAAGGCAAATGAAGAGCAAAGTCAAGTCTCTGGTGCAAGCTGTGGTGGATCTATCATCCTGGGGTCTGGAGGAAAGTGGCCTTCTTCTCAAAGCTTCACTAGGCAGTGCCTGACTCGGGACTTTGTGTGAGGGCTCCCACCCCATGTTCCCCTTCTGCACTGCCCTAGCAAAAGTTCTCCATGAGGACCCTGCACCTGCATCAAACTTTTGCCTGGACATCCAGGTGTTTCCATACATCTTGTGAAATTTAGTCAGAGGTTCCCAAACCTTAATTCTTGACTTCTGTGCACCTGGAGGTTCAACACCATGTGAAAGCTGCCAAGGATGGGGCATGCACACTTTGAGGCCACAGCCTGAGCTGTACCTTGGCCCCTTTTAGTCACAGCTGGAGCAGCTGGGACACAGGGAACCAAGTCCCTAAGCTGCACAGAGCAGGGGGGCCCTGGCCCTAGCCCAGGAAGCCATTTTTTTATCCTAGACCTCTGGACCTGTGATGGGAGGAGCTGCTGTGAGGGTCTCTGACATGCCCTGGAGACATTTCCCCCATTGTCTTGGCGATTAACATTTGGCTCCTTGTTACTTATGCAAATTTCTGCAGCTGGCTGGAATTTCTGCTCAGAATATGGATTTTTATTTTCTAATGCATCATTAGGCTGCAAATTTCCCAAATTTTTATGCTCTGCTTCTTCTTGAATGCTTCGCCACTTAGAAAAATTTTCCCCCAGATACCCTAAATCATCTCTCTCAACTTCAAAGTCGACAGACATCTAGGGCAGGGGCAAAATACAGCCAATCTCTTTGCATAGCAAGAGTGACCTTTACTTCATTTCCCAACAAGTTCCTCATCACCATCTGAGACCACCTCAGCCTGGACCTTATTGTCCATATCACTATCAGCATTTTGGTCAAAGCCATTCAATAAATCTCTAGGAAGTTCCAAACTTTCCCACATTTTCCTGTCATATTCTGAGCCCTCCAAACTGTTCCAACTTCTGCCTGTTACCCAGTTCCAAAGTTGCTTCCACATTTTTGGGTATCTTTACAGCAGCACCCCACTCTACCAGTACCAATTTACTGTATTGGTATGTTCTCATGCTGCTAATTAAGACATACCTGAGCCTGGGTAATTTATAAAGGAAAGGGGTTTAATTAACTGACAGTTCTATATGGCTGGGAGGCCTCACAATCATAGCAGAAGGCAAATGAGGAGCAAAGTCAAATCTTGTATGGTGGCAGGCAAGAGAGAGCTTGTGTAGGGGAACTTCACTTTATAAAACCATCAGATCTCGGGAGACTTAGTCACTATCATGAGAACAGCATGGGAAAGACCCATCTCCCTGATTCAATTAACTTCCACTGAGTCCCTTTCATGACACATGGGAAAGACCCATCCCCCTGATTCAACTACCTTCCACTGAGTCCCTTTCATGACACATGGGAATTCTGTGAGCTACAATTCAAGATGAGATTTGGGTGGGAACACAGCCAAATCATATCAATATGAGTACTCACATCGAGCAATTTTTTTGCATCCATATATAATACTCTAACTGGAAATTTTACCTTGAATCATCACTTATTTTTTGCAAATCATTGATATTTATTTTAATTAGTCTATAGGTACTAGGTTACAAACTTTAGACTTTATTTTGCAAGGAGAGATTTAAGGAGGAATAAATATCCTAATTTTCAATTTAAAAATCACTGTGGTATCAATGTGAAGGATAGTTTGTAGGTGGGGAAAGAGGAGCTGGAATGGGTGCACTTCAGCCATTGAGGTGGGGTAAAACTGTTCCTGGTATTAAATGGAGACCCACTTTGAACCTTTACAAGTTATTCTGCTGCTCTTGTCCTTTTATTGTAGGCCTGGTCCCAGTCCAAAGCTGGCCTAGGACTTGGAATGTCCAGGAGGCCTAACATTCCTGGACTTTTTGGAGTGAGTGAGGGCTCTGTCCAAGGAAACATTCTGTCATGGGCTAGTCATGGGTTCAGGGCACCAAGATCTTCACTGCCTACTGAGTGGCAGATGGGAGACTGAGAGTGGCTGGGAATGGAAAACTTTGCTTGACTAATCCTTGGTGGGGATAACCAGTGTGTGTGGCTTCTGGTCTTGTGGAAGGTCTAAGTCTCTCACTAGCTTTTAAGGAACTTTATAATATTACGTATTTTATTATCTTTAATAAAATTCTAACTGTTAACAAAAAAGAGGGAAAGAGAAAGACCAGTAAGAAGTTCCTCTGGTGAGTCTAAAAGGGATTTGGTGTACGCATTAGCAAAAGGGATGGAGAGACAGCAAGTGTTATAAAGCAGTGATTCTTCAAATTTTAGCGGGCATCAGATTGAGAGTTTTTGATATTGGGAAGAGGGCTCAGGTTATGCTGCTCTAAGAAGTTCTCAGAGCTTGGAATGGTGGGTCATGTCTGTAATCCTAGCACTTTGGGAAGCTGAGGTGGGTGGATAGCTTGAGCCCAGGAGTTCAAGACCAGCCTGAGCAACATGGCAAAACCCCATCTCTACAAAAAATACAAAAATTAGCTGGGCATTTTGGTGCACACCTGTAGTCCCAGCAACATGGGAGGCTGAGGTGGGAGGATCGGGAGGATCACCTGAGTCATGATTGCACCACTACTCTCCATCCTGGGCAACAGTTAGACCCAGACTCAGAGAAAAAAAAAAGAGAAAAAAAAATAAATTTCCAGGAGAGGCTGATGTTGGTTATCCAGAATCATATGATGAAAACCAGTAGTCTAAGGTTTTTTTACTCAAAATGGGACCTTGGGATGAGCAGCACTGGCAGTAGTGACACCACTTTCACCACTCTCAGCCACTTCCAAACTCCCATTTGCCACTAGTAGGCAGTAAAGGTCTTGGTGCCTTGCACTGTAACTATCCTGTGACAGACTGTTCCCTTGGACAGAGACTTCCCTCACTGCAAAGAGGCCAGGAATGTTAGGCCTCCTGGGAACTTATTAGAAATGGAGACTGTTAGGCCTTACCCTAGTCCTGCTGTATCAGATTCTACATTTTTACAATATCCTCAAGTGGCTTCTATGAAGATTAAGATTTGAGGTAGGGTGCACTGGCTTAAAATAAATAATGAATAGGATCAAAAGATTTTAGGAAAAATAAGGGTGTCTAGCATGAGTCACGTTACTTCCTGAAGAATTAGGTAGATAGTGGTGACAGTGCTTATGAAGCTCTTCCTACTCAGAGGTGGACAGGGCACCTCCAGGTAATCAACATAATTCTCACAAACCCCAAAGTCATTTCTAATAGATAGATATATAGATAGATAGATAGATAGATAGATAGATAGATAGATAGATAGATAGATTGATATAATATTATATATATAATATATCTAAGCTTGATTAAGAAAAGCTGATACATAAATAGGTAGTCCAAGGAGTATATACAAATCAAGTCATGAGGCCCCTGCATTGAAAATTGAGATTGTAAGCCAAGGTTTCTCTACCAAGCCTTGGCTGTATAAACAGGAAGAAAGTGCAATTCCTGGCTCTGATTCTGGATTTATGTCCAAATATGCTGTTTTCATCTTTCCTGGCAGAGGATTAAGTCCTAGGCAAGATAACTAAACTATTTTCTTCCATCCAATAGGTAAACCAGTCTCTCATTTGTGTTTAAAAAAATGGAAAGCAACAGCATATCTTTTTTAATGAGAAAAAATGGCTTATTAAATTAATTAGGATAAAACACAATAATAAAGTGGGGCTGCTCCTCTAGTCTACAAGTATATTTACTTCAGAACTTTCTGTTTCGGAAAAAGATGACATTTCTGCAAACTTATCTGTCTTTGAAAACAGGGCTCAATAAGCGATGTCAGAAATCAAGAACTGTAGTGAGATAAATTTTTAAAAGATGAGTGGCCAGATTGATGTTCAACGCACTGGTGGAGTGGGGCAGGCACTAAGCAAACAACTCACATCTCAATCCAGGCCTCCTTACTAAGGGACTATGAGACCCCTGGGAATTTACTTCATCTTTCCAAGTCTAAGGCTCATCATAATAATTTTAACACATGATTGATTTGAGAATTAAATGATAATACATAATAAACATTTAGCACAGTACCTGAATGTTCATAGTTTCTTAGTATCTTCTGGTATTTTCTGTATTTTCCTGCTCACTGGGCATAACAATGGAAATATATGTCATATTTTCTTGGCTATCGTAGAAAAGCTAGATTATATCAGAAGCCACAGGCCAAAATTGTAAGCCCTAAGGAGAAAGTAAGAATTTTCAACCAGTAAGGCTGCCTGTTGGTATGCCAGGAGTTTTCTTTCATGGATGTACTATTCCACTGCAGTCAAAAAGTAAAAAATAGGTTTATAACAATTGAATGCACATGCTTTTATGGCAGTTATTTCCTGAAAAAATACTGAAATGAGCAGCTCTTGTAATGCAGTAGCACACTTTGTGCTATCTATAAATAAAAAACAGACAACTTAGCCAGGCGCGGTGACTCACACCTGTAATCCCAGCACTTTGGGAAGCTATGGCAGGGGGCGGTCAGGAGATTGAGACCATCCTGGCCAACATGGTGAAACCCCATCTCTACTAAAAATACAAAAATTAGCTTGGGGGGTGGTGCATGCCTCTAATCCAAGCTACTCGGGAGGCTGAGGCAGGAGAATCACTTGAACCAGGGAGTCGGAGGTCGCAGTGAGCAGAGATCGGGCCACTGCACTCCAGCCTGGCGACAGAACGGACTCCGTCTCAAACAAAACAAAACAACAACAACAACAACAACAAAACAGACAACTTTTCAGGTCATCATACTGTCACAAAAATATATCAAGTATTTTTCTGCAATATATGAAAACTATGCTTCATGAAAATTCAAAAAGGCACTATTATAAGAAAAAAAAAGCTATCTTCAAACAGTGTCATAGTGAGCGCAGGAGTTGACCCAACAAGTATTTTGATATAGGGATATAATTACACAGACTATAAAATAGTTACACTGTAATAGTAATAAGATGCTAATTATTGCAGACTTTTTAGTTGTATTCTGAATCTTCATTTTTTAAACAAAACATCAAGTATTTGGAAATGGAATTAAGACAAAGGGAGGGAGGAAGAAGGAAGTGAAAGAGATAGAGAGAGAAGGAAGGAGAGAAAGAGTGACTGGGAACAGTGCTGAAGTGCCTCTTCGCTGAAGAAGACAACATAAGTGAGAGGGAGAGATACCAGTTTTACAGAGAACCCAGTAACAGACTAACTGACTTGTACAGTGAAAAAACTCAGCTTCCCTTGAATACACATCCAGAATTCTGTCTTCCCCTTAACTAACCTTAATGCAAGGTTTGATTTTTGCCTACTTCCCTGAATGGTCTCCTGTCTCAGCAAGCTAAGGTGAGTGGAGAAAAAGAGAGGCAAGCTTATGCCAAGGGAAATATCTATAGCGAGGACACGCTGTCTTTGACTCGCAAAGGGACTTCGGTGAAGCAGCTAGGAGGAAACGTACCATTAAATGATATGGTTACAATAGAATACAGTGTTCTTCCTTTTGCTATCACATTTCTGGAAATAATTTACCTAGAAATTTTCCCTGAAGTATGGTTCTCTTACTGTGACAAAGGAAAATGTAGGTACAGAGAGTGTACATAGAATATAAATGCCTATTAGAGCCAAGAGATGCAATATTACCTTAGATTTCTGATTGCCCATAAGGTACTTACATTTTCCCTACTCCCAGTAAAAATGAATTATCTCTTTAGACTGTTGAGCCAGATCCTTCAATTCTCTCTCTGGACCAATCAAAGTAAAACTAGCAGAAAAGTGTATGGACCAAAGGTGCGAGGAATTCTTTTGTGTGTCTGAGTCTGGTCAGAGCCCATTCATGTTCACAGAAACCTTGTGGCGGACTACATGACTTGAGTTAGAAAGTTACCTGCACTTGTCACAGGCTAGGGAATTGGTAATCTCAATCAAAGTTTCAAGAGTTTAATAAATTCCAGCAGATTAAAAATAAAATATAACTTTAACAAATGTGTAAACTTTAGTCAGTTTGCTATTATAGAATATAAGAAAAAATATAGCTTTCTATTTTTCTTTTTGAGAGATAAAATACTCCAGAAAGTTAGATAATAGAAGCGTACAGTTTTAGAAACTTAACCTTAGAATCCCTAAGTTGAAAAAAAAATCAAAACATTTCAAACCATTTAAGTTGTATGAGTTTAATTTTATTTATTTTTTCAAATTCCAATTTATGGGCATCACTGATTTTCCCTCACTGTAATAAGAAAGGGAGTTCTATGTAATTGTAGAGAAGACATCTGTGCAGTACACTTTTGAACCACAAAGTACATATATATTGGAAAGAAGTCTTTCATTTTTCAAAATCTTTTATTTTTCTTGACCTGCCATGGTAAGGAAAAAGCAAAGTAATTTCATCTTCCTCTCTCATCTGCAGTGAATTTCCACACTCAACCAGAAGCAGGAAAGGATTTTATATGCTTATAGTACTTTACAACCACATAGCTTTTGCTCTTCAAGGAATAAGACGAGAATGCATATTTATTGGTTTGTGATGGTGATTTCTGAGGACTCAGTGTGTACCAGCATACACTCTATCCCATAATAGACTGTGAAAATTTCACTTTTGATAAATAAAAAGTTTATTCAGTACATTTTATTTTATTGTTTAGGCAAATGTTTTCTACATACACTTATTTTTAAAAAAATAATTGAGGCTATTGTCGTCAATAAAATGCAATTTTAATTTGCACTTTGATTTTTCCATTTCCTCTAAGACACCTTTATGCAAATATTTGGTTTCTATGGATGTTCAGCCTCAGTGTTTTTTGATGCCAGAGATGAGTAAGTCAGAAATTAGCTCAGTATATTGGCCAAATGAAATGGTGCATTTTGTCCCAATTATTGAGAGTGCCAGGATATATTTATGTCAACACCACCAAAACATGGCACCATTCCTCACAACAAATCGGGTTACAGCAAATTCAACACTGTTTGGCAATATGGGAAAATAATTCAATACTAGACTTTCTTTTAAATATAGTGTGGAAAATAGGTTCATAAAACCATCACAGGATGTGAAGGAGTCTGTTGAAGTGATTTGAAAGCAGAAAATGGATCCTTGGCAAACAGGAAACAGTAAAGTATTTCTGCTTGAGCAGAACAGAGGGCAAAAATTGAGGTATGGGAGAAATAATAAAACTGTAGAGGAACAGTAAACAAAAAAATCACATGTTTTTCATTAATCATCTCTACTCTCAATTACAAAATCTGTTTAATATTTGTTTAAAGAATGAAAAGGAATATGTAAACTACTATAGTAAGTTTAGAGAATAGCTAGAACTGATTTAAGAAATTATGTATTGTGGATATATGACAATTTAGATGTATTAAGATAATTTAAGGTGAATACTTTGGCTTAGTAAGTGAATTGTGATGGCCAATATGGGAAGAAGGGACATGCATATAATGACTTTCTACTGGGTTTCATGGTCCCGAGAAAAGAAAATATAATCATAGCAGAGAAGAAGGAAATACAGAGAATAAAAGTAAAGGGAGTGTTTTAATGTAAAACATCAGTAATGCTGTCTTCTGGGTTGAGAATAACTTTATTTGAGATCCTTAATACCAGTCTATATATAAACTACTGCTAATCATAGTTACCAAATGATTTAGTTGCTTCCACATCACCCATCCCTTTGTTAATTTATCTTCAATAAATTCTAATCATAATTAGGTCCATCCAAGTTTTTATGTCACATCTTCAGAGATGTCTTTCCTAACACCTCCAAATTAGCATTAATGCCCCGTTTTTATATACCTAATGCTTTCATAGCTATGGTGACCAAAAAATTTATCTTCCAAATTTGAACATAATCGAGCATGAAAGGAGGTGCTATTACAATTATGCCTGAACAACAGGTGTAAATCAGGACTACTCTACCTCTGGCAAACTCTGCTTTTCCAGTCACAATATTGCTAATTTGCTATCCAATTATCTGTTTCTAGCACAGAACACTCAATGAGGATGAGTACAGTGACTAGCCTATTCACTTTGAACCTCTGGTATTTATCCCCATGATAAATGCATACTATACCTTCTGCAAAGGTTATGAATAGGTTTTGTTATATTTATGACATATATTACAATATGTAATTTAATATTTTTAATAAAATTATATTGCTTTCTGTTTGTGGTTTGCAGCCATGATGTTTTTTGTTCTGAATGAACTGTTATACAACCCAATAATGACTAAATTATAATAATAATTTGGTAGTAGATTTTCTAAGTTTTCTATATAGGAAGTTGTGTATATTGTGAATAATAATTTTTTCAAATTCTAATGTCTATTTTTCTGATAGTAAACTACCTAGGACTTTCAGTACATTAACTAAAATTGATAGTGTTTGTAGTTTTGATCTTCACAATTTTACGCATATATATATTTATATACATAGATATATATAGCAATGACATATTCGTACACATATCTGTCTATATGTGCATGTGTATTTTCCTACAGTTTCTACTACATATTGAGCAATTTCTTATATATTGAAATATATGACAATATAGTTCTAGATACTATATTACATGTTTTTAATATATTGGCTTAATGTTATACAAACTTTTTAATATAGTTTACACCCTGACAGTTTCTGCCATGCCTATATATAATCTGTAATTTCTGAACATTTGCCTTCTTATTATTTCTCCTTTAATTGTAAAATAATAGCAAATAGAAAATTTGCAAAATTTAATTAATGATTATACAATTATATGTGCAATTAATGAATAATTACAATATAAAATGTATATGACTTGTACACTCTTCAATAAATAACACATTGACAAAAACCTAGAATCATCCCTATTCATCTCAGTGGTTTTTAACCCTCTCTCTCTTCCTATTAATCATATTGACCTTGTGAGCATTTTATCAGTATGTAGATTATAGGCTTACTAGCGATAAACACCTAAACAAGATATGCGTGTCCCCAAAGAGCATAGTTTATTTCATTGTTTTTGAACCACATAAGAATAAAATAAAACTTCATGCATTTCTCTGTTTTACCTTTCTCTCTACATCAGCAGATGTTTGTTTGTTTATATTGATGTATGCTAAACAATTTGGATGTTTCCAGTGAGGTAGGTGCACACATTATTTCTTTGGAACTTTTAAAATTCAGATATACGGTTGTAAATGGGCAAATGATTTTTAGTTTATAGAAACTAGAGCCTTTGACTCTATATGCTGGGTAACAGCATAACAGGGTAATACTTTCAATTTTAACAGATTATGCCAAACTGTTTTTTTCAACATTGTTATTACAATTTGCATTCCCATCAGCAGTGTTTGCCAGTTTCTGACAGATGTGTGATTTATTCTGTTCCTTTTATTTGCATTCTTCTTATTATTTATATGGCAAAAAACTTTTTCTTTTATTTATTATTTGTTTGATGTTTGTCTTCATGAATTATTTGTTGTAGAATATTTTTCCTCTATTCTATTTTACTATTTGTATGTATTGACATGCAAATGTGAGGTGTGTGTGTGTGTGTGTGTGTGTGTGTGTGATCATTTTGTCTGACTTCTAAAATCTCTCCCTTTATCATATACACGTTGCACATATTTTATCATATTCTGGAACTCTTATGTTTATCTATATACTCTTCTCTGTGAATAAACAAGAGTTTTAAATTTAATATGATAAAAATTATTTACTTTTTCTTTATGTTCTCTAAGATTATCTATCTTTGCCTTTATTTTGCCAAAGAAATTTTATCCTATATTGAAGTTGTGAAGATATTCAAATATACTTTTAAAGCTTTATAGTTTGGATTTCCATATATTTTTCTGGAATCCATCTGTCACTGACTTTTTCTATGCTATTGAGAAAGGTTTCTATATCAATTTTCTGTAGGTATATGTAATTTTTCCAGCATATTTTTTGAAGAGACCATTTTTCTCTTGCTGCTATGGCATGCCATTTCTTTCGTTTTTTAATTTCCAGTGTATAATTTAAGGTTTCTTACTCTAAGTACTCTAATAATGTATGATAGACTTTTCCACTGAGTCTTCCATATATTTTACTATTTTTTTCTATATTTTATGACTTTTGTAGCTTTATGCTAATTTTTGAATAAATTCTGATTTATTAAAAGTTCATAAATTTTATTGTCAGATCTGTCCAATTAATTCCAACTTTTTACTGAATATTTAATTTTAATCCTTTCATTTTGATTTTTAGTTTAATTTTTGTTGTCTTTATTTCTCAATGTTATATGTTGTTATTTTTAAATCTGCAGTCATTTTATAGTTTCTGGTTCTCTATATTTTATTATTTTTCTTTAATTTCTTTAAAAAGTATAATATATACATAATTTTGGTATCTGTTCTAATAATTTCAGTATCTAATATTTTTCACTAATTCCATATCTTATATATTACTGTTTGGGGTTAGTTTTAGTGAGTTTGCTTGTGTGCATGGTTTTGTTTGCCTGGTGCTATTTAATGACCTTTAACAATGGCTTCAGGGGAAACCTAAAGCTTAAAATAAAGATATCTCTTCCAGAAAGTATTTAGATTTACATTTGCTTTTTCCAAATGCTTGAGATACTACCAAGTGGAAAAACTGCAAATCCATGCTTGGAGAATCTTGGACCAGTCAATCAAGCAAATTTGAGTGAAAATTCATGTGATATGTTCCCAATTGTTCACAATCTCTTGAGTAAACGGTTTGACTTTTCTTTTTCCTTTTTTCATTTTTAATTTTCCCCCGACTCAAACCAGGACCACAGCAACATTTGCTGAAAGAACAATAATTCATAATTTCACTGAAAGGTAAAGAATGAATGTTTCTTGTTTACATTACTTATGGTTGTTGAGCAGCCTGTCTGCTTTGGAAGCGGGTGGTCATTGGGTTGGATATAGATCCCCTTTACCCTTTGAGCCCTCACGATTTCATTTCACATTCTCATAACTAACAAATATGTGTAGAGTAAAAGCAACCTCTTTAGGTTGCTGCTTTGATCTTTAAATTTTCACTATCCAGCCGGGCGCGGTGGCTCATGCCTGTAATCCCAGCACTTTGGGAGGCCAAGGCGGGCGGATCACGAGGTCAGGAGATCGAGACCATCCTGGTTAACACAGTAAAACCCTGTCTCTACTAAAAATACAAAACAATTAGTCGGCCGTGGTGGCGGGTGCCTGTAGTCCCAGCTACTCTACTCGGGAGGCTGAGGCAGGAGAATGGCGTGAACTTGGGAGGCGGAGCTTGCAGTGAGCCGAGATCGCGCCACTGCACTCCAGCCTGGGCGACAGAGCGAGACTCCGTCTCAAAAAAAAAAGCAAAATTTTCACTATCCTATCAAAAGGTCCTAGTAGTCCTGTTTTGTTTTGCATATGTTTACACAATATTTTAAGTTTCTTTTCCTGTCAGTGTTGGTCTGAAAATGTAGCCTTGTATCAGTGTTAGCTGAAATAAAGATACTGTTGTAAAACAAGAGCATGAAGTATGTCTATATGACTCTAGACATGTTTAGGTGTATTGGTACCCCATACATTAAACAGAGAAATGAATTCAACAAGAGTCAATATTATCCCAAAGAAGTACAACTAGTCTGGATTGGCCAAGGTAGCTGAGATTATATGTAGGAGTCATGAAATCATAGCTAGGTAAAAGAAAGAGTAAGTTGATTACACGAGAAAAGTGGAGAACAATAAAATTTTATTAGATCACTAAATTATAGCATATGTATATATTAATGGGGTACATGAGGTGTTTTGATACAGATTTACAATGTGTAATAATCACAAGGTAAATGGGATATCCATTACCTTAAGCATTTATCATTTTTTCTATTACAAACATTCCAATTATACTCATTCAGTTATCTGAAAATATACAATAAATTATTGTTGACTATAATCTCCCTATTGTGCTATCAAATACTATTAGATCTTATTCATTCTATCTAACTATATTTTTGAACCCATTAACCATCCTCACCTTCCCTTCCCAGCCTCTGGTAACCACCACTCTACCATCTATCTTCGTGAGTTCAATTGTTTTACTTTTTAGCTCCCAAAAGTGAGTGAGAATGTGTGAAGCTTGACTTTCCGTGTCCTGCTTATTTCACTTAACATAATGTCCTCCAGTTCCATCCATGTTGTTGCAAATGACAGGATCTCATTCCTTTTGATGGTTGAATAGTACTCCATTGTATATATGTACCACATTTTCTCAATCCATTATCTGTTGATGAACATTTAGGTTGCTTCCAAGTCTCAGCTATTTGAATAGATAGTGGTGTTTCAATAAAGATGAGAGTGCAGATATATCTTTGACATATTGATTTCCTTTTGTTTTAGCATATACCTAGCAGTGGGATTGCTGGATCATACAGTTGTTCTATTTTTAATATTTTAAGAGCATCCCTTCTCTTCTCCATAGTGACTATACTAATTTACATTCCCACCAATATTGTATAAGGGTTTCCTTTCCTCCACGTGCTCACAAACATTAGTTATTGTCTGTCTTTTGGATAAAAGCTATTTTAACTGGGGTGAGATGATAGCTCATTGTAGTTTTGATTTAAATTATTCTGCTGATCATTGATGGAGAGTACCATTTTATATACTTGTATGTCTTCTTTTGAGAAATGTCTATTCACATCTTTTGCCCATTTTTTATTCTGTTTATTAGATTTTTTTCCTATTGAGCTGTTTGAGCTGTTCATATATTCTGGTTATCAATCCCTTGTCTGATGGATAGTTTGCAAATATTTTCTCCCCTTGTGTGTGTTGTCTCTTCACTTCGTTGATTTTTTTTTCTTTCCTGTGCATAAGCTTTTTTACTTTATCTGATCTCATTTGCCCATTTTTGCTTTGGATAGGCAATACCCCTGTGCTTGTGGGGTATTACTCAAGAAATCTTTGCCACCCAGTGACTTGGAGAGTTTCCCCAATCTTTTTTTTCAGTAGTTTCATACTTCAGGTTTTAGATTTAAGTCTTTAATACATTTTGATTTGATTTTTGTATATGGTGAGAGATAGCAATCTAGTTTCATTCTTCTGCACATAGCTGTCTTGTTTTCTCAGTATCATTTATTAAAGAGACTACTTTCCTTAATGTATATTCTTGACACCTTTGTTGAAAATCAGTTAGCTGTAGGTATGTAAATTTATTTCTTTCTAGGTTCTCGGGTTCTCTAGTCTGTTCTATAGGTCCATGTGTCGTTTTTATGCTTGTGCCATGCTGTTTTAGTTACAATAGCTCTGTCAAGTAAAGTTGGGTAATGTGATTCCTCCAGTTTTGTTATTTTTGCTCAGACTGGCTTTTGCTATTTTGGGTCTTTTGTGGTTACATATAAATTTAGAATTTTTTGTCTACGTCTGTGAGAACATCATTGTTAATTTGGTAGGGATTGCATTTAATTTGTATATTTTTGAGGATAGCATGGACATTTTAACAATATTCATTCTTCCAGTTTATAAACATGAAATATCTATTTCCTATGTCCTCCTTAATTTTTTGTTTCAATGTTTTATAGTTTTTATTATAGTGATCTTTCACCTCTTTGGTTGAGTTTATTCCTAGGTACTTAATTTTATGTGTAACTATTGCAAATGTGATAAATTTCTTGATTTCTTTTTCAGACTGTTCGCTGCTGGCATATATAAATGCTACTAATTTTTATACATAAATTTTGTATTCTGGAACTTTACTGAATTGGTTCATCAGTTTTAATTTTTTTGGTGGATTATTTATGATTTTCCAAATATAAGATCATATCACCTGTAAACAGGGATAATTTGAATTCTTCCACTCCAATCTGGATGACTTTTATATCTTTCTTTTGTCTGATTGCTCTAGCTAGAACTTCCAGTACTATGTTGAATAACAGTGGTGAAAGTGTGAATCCTTGTGTTCCAGATCTTAGAGGAAAGAATTTAAGTTTTCCCCCATTCAATATCATACTAGTTGTGAGCCTATCATGTATGGCTTCTATTGTATTGAGGTATGTTTCTTCTACATCCCATTTTTAGGGCCTTTATCATAAAGAGATGTTGAAATTTATTAAAAATTTTTTGGCATCAATTAAAATGATAATATGGCTTTTGTTATTCATTCTGTTGATATCACGTATCATTGATTGATTTGCTTATGTTGAACCATTCTTGCATTCCAGGGATAAATCCTACTTGGTCATGATGAATGATATGTACACTTTCTTATTGAATTAGGTTGGCTAGTGCTTTGTTGAGGATTTTTGCATCAATGTTCATCAGTAATAGTGGCCTGTGGTCTTCTTTTTCTGATGTGTATTTGTCTGGTTTTGCTATCAGGGCAATACTGAATTCATAGAATGTGTTTGAAAGTTTCCTGCCTCAATTTGTTGGAAAGTTTGAGTAGGATTGGTATTAGTTATTTAAATATTTGCTCAAATTAACAGTAAAGCCATCAGGTCTTGGGTTTGCCTTTCCTGAAAACCTTTTTTATTATGGCTTTGATCTCATTACTTGTTATTGGTCTGTTCGGGTTTTGGATTTCTTCCTGGTTCAATGTAGGCAGTCTTGCTTTTTTATCCATTTGGCTACTCTATGTCTTTTAATTGGAGAGTTTGGTTCATTTACCTTCAAGATTATTATTGATAACTAAGGACTTAATCCTGCCATTTGGTTATTTGTTTTCTAGTTGTTATGTAATCCTCTCTTCTCTTTTTTTCTGAAGGTGATTTTCTCTGGTGGTATGTTTTAATTTCGTGTTTTTATTTGTTTGTATCTGTTTTACTGTTTTCTCTTACTCGAGGTTGTCATGATGCTTGAAAACAACATCTTATAACCAATTAGTTTAAGCTGATAACAACTTAACACTGATTATAAAAATAAGCAAACAAGCAAAAAGAAAACTAATAAAAACTATACATTTTAACTTCATCCCCTCCCCTTTAGGTTTTTCTTGTTTCTATTTATAACTTATTATACTGTCTGTATCTTAAAAAGTTTTTCCAGCTCTTTTTGGTACCTTCATCTATAAGTCATTCTTCTCAATGTTTGAGTAGTTTATACACCACAATCACAGTGTTATATTTAGTATTCTATTTTGGTCTGTTTACTTACTACTACCAGTGAGTTTTCTATTAATACCTTCAGTTGATTTCTTACTGCTTTTTAATGTGCGTTTCTTTCAGATTGAAGAATTCTCTTTGGCATTTATTTTAGGACTTGTCTGGTATTGATGAAATCCTTCAGCTTTTGTTTGTCTGGGAAAGTCTATTTCTTCCTTATGTTTGAAGGGCAATTTTGCTAGATTTACTATTCTAGAATACATTTTGTTTGTTTATTTTTGTTATTTTTTTCCTTCAGCCCTTTAAATATGTCCTGCCCCTCTCTCCTGGCCTGTAAGGTTTGCACTGAAATGTCTGCTGCCAGATGTATTGGAGCTACTTTATATCTGGAGCTGCCAGATGTATTGGACTGTGTATTTTCAAATAGCCTGTCTTCCAGCTCACTAATTCTCCCCTCTGCTTGATCAATTCTGCTTTTGAGAAACTCTGATGCATTCTTCAGCATGTTAATAGAATTTTTCAATTTCTTTATAATTTCTGTTTTATTTTCAAAAATATTTCATTCTCTTTGTTAAATTTGTCTATTAGGATTCTGAATTCCTTCTCTGTGTTATCTCGAGTTTTACTGAGCTTCTTCAAAACAGCTATTTTGAGTTCTCTGTCTGAAAGGTAACATATCTCTATCACTCTGTGATGGGTCACTGTTGTCTTATTTAGTTCATTTGGGGAGGTCATGTTTTCCTGGATGGCCTTGATGCTTGTTGGTATATGGGCACTGAATAACTAGTTATTTATTGTAGTCTTCACAGTCTGGGCTTGTTTGTACAAGGAACAAGCCTTTGAAAGGCTTTCCAGGTATTCATGGGAATTGATTGTTGTGATCTAAGTCTTTGGTCACTACAGCCATATCTGTATTAGATGGCACCCCAAGTCCAGTAACACTGTAACTCTTGCAGACTCATAGAGGTACTGCTTTGGTGGTCTTGGGTACAATCTGAAAGAATTCCCTGAGTTACCATGCAGAGACTCTTGTTCCTTCCCCTATTTTTTGACAAAAAAAAAAAAAATTTGAGTTTCTCTCTCCATGCTCAGCTGCCTGGAGCTAAGAGAAGGGTGACAAAAGCAGCACTGTGGCCACCACCACTGGGGCTGTGCTGGGTAAGACCTGAAGCCATCATGGCACTGGGTCTCACCCAAGGCCCATGGTGACCTCCTCCCGGCTACCACTAATGTTCACTCAAGTCCCAAGTGCTCTATAATCAGCTAATGGCAAATGCTTCTGGCCTATATCTCTCTCTTCATGGCAATGGGCTTCCTTCTCAACCTGGGTTCGTCAAAAAATGCCTTCCAGGAGCTAAGGCCTGGAACTGGGGACAACAGTAGCCCACTTGGTGCTCTACTTCACTGTGGGTTCACTGGTACCCAGGCTACAAGACAAAGTCCCCTTTGCTCTTCCCACTCCTTTGCTCAAGCTGAATCTGTCTCTCCCTGTGGCTACCACAGCTCAGAGTGTGCTGGATCACATCTGAAGCCAGCATGGTACCGAGTCTCACCCAAGGCCCATGTACTGTCTGGCTATCTTTGATGTTTATTCATGGCCCAAAGACTCTTTAGTCAGCAGGTGATGGATCCTGCTGTAACTGGTTTCTTCCCTTCAAGACACTGGGTTCCCTTCTGGCCCAGGGTGTGTCTAGAAATGTCATCTGGAAGCTAGGGCCTGGAATTGGGGCCTCAGGACTTTTCCTGGTGCTTTATTGTACTTTGACTGAGCTGGTATCCAAGTTGCAAGCAAGAGCCTCTTTATTATTTCCTCTCCTCTCTTGAAGCAGAAGGAAAGTGTCTTTCCTGGAGCTGCAAGCTGCATTGCCTATGGTTGAGGGAGAAGTGATGCAAGCACTTCCTTGGCTTCTCCAGCAGGTACATCACTAGGTCACATACACCAGAAGTCTACTGGCTCCAATCCCAGCACAGCATCGGGACTTTCCAGGATGTTCAGTCCTTGTTGCCTAGACTGCCTTTCAAGTTTATTAGGACCCCAGAGTGCTTTATCTTTCAGTGATGGGGTTCCAGCTGCCGGGATGGACAATTCCCCTCTGCTATGGCTGGTCTGAATGATCCATTTGTTGATGTCAGCTGCATTCTGCCCCTTGTTGCTTTCTGCTGTGACAGGCAGCACTGGATTCCAAAGCAAAGTCCGACATGACTACACTCTTCCTCCTTCAAATATACAGAATCTCTCTCAGTGCCATGTGGTCACTGCTGGGGATGAAAGAGGGTTGCTGTCAGCAATTCAGTACTCTCTTTCTTATTCTCTTCAATGCCTCTTTCCTTGCTATGATGTTAAAACCAGGTATTGTGATTACTTACCTGATTTTTTGTTCTTATGAGGGTGCTTTCTTGTATGGATAGCTGTTAAGCTATAATCCTTTGGGTTTTGGTGTGGATGTCCTTTTTGTTGATGTTATGCTATTCCTTTCTGTTTGTTAGTTTTCCTTCTAACAGTCGGGACCCTCAGCTGCAGGTCTGTTGGAATTTGCTGGAGGTCCACTCCAGATCCTGTTTGCCTGGGTATCACCAGCGAAGGCTGCAGAACAGCAAATATTGCTACCTGATCCTTCCTCTGGAAGCTTCATCTCAGAGGGACACCCAGCTGTATGAGGTGTCAGCCGGCCCCTACTGGCAGTTGTCTCCCAATTAGGCTACACAGGGGTCAGGGACCCACTTGAGGAGGCAGTCTGTCAGTTCTCAAGAGCTCAAACTCCATCCTGGGAGAACCACTGCTCTCTTCAGAGCTATCAGACAGGGATGTTTAAGTCTGCAGAAGTTTCTGCTGCCTTTTGTTCAGCTATGCCCTGTCCCCAGAGGTGGAGTATACAGAAGCAGGCAGGCCTCCTTGAGCTGTAGTGGGCTCCAGACAGTTCGAACTTCCCGGCTGCTTTGTTTAGCTACTCAAGCCTCAGCAATGGTGGACGCCCCTCCCCCAGCCCAGGCTGCTGCTTTGCAGTTTGATCTTGGACTGCTGTGCTAGCAGTGAGCAAGGCTCTGTGGGTGTGGGACCTGCCAAGTCTGACACAGGATATAATCTCCTGGTGAGCCATGTGCTAAGACCTTTGGAAAAGTGCAGTATTGGGGTGGGAGTGTCCCAATTTTCCAGGTACCGTCTGTTACAGCTTCCCTTGGCTGGGAAAGGGAAATCCCCCAACCCCTTGCACTTCCCAGGTGAGGCAACACTCCCTCCTGCTTTGGCTCACCCTTGGTGGGCCGCACCCACTGTCCAACCAGTCCCAGTGAGATGAACCATGTACCTCAGTTGGAAATGCAGAAATCACCCATCTTCTGGGTCAGTCATGCTGGGAGCTGCAGACTGGAACTGTTACTATTCAGCCATCTTAGAATGATCCAACCCTTCATTTAATTTCTAGGAAGACTGTTTCAGGTAGATCCCTATCCTTTCAACAATGATTAAATATTCCAGAGCCTGGCAGAAAATGTAGTTTTAAGTATATAAAAACACTGAAGTTTCATTAGTTTCATCCAATTTATAATCCCTCATGGGATTTCCTAAGACTCGAAGACTTTGGCAAGACTTGAATGCTTTCATGAAATGTGAATAATTGAGAAAGCATAAGCACTTGAATATCATAATGCATTAAGTAATGAGGTCTGAAATGAGATATGTATGTTATTACTTCATCTTTAGTTGTAGATGGTAGTAATGAAGATTTGGCACAAGAAAAATAGCATTATAATTGATATATACTTTTCTTGGGTCGTGAGTGGAACAGACTATTCTATATAGAGAGTTTTTGGGTGAGTAAAATAGTAATTTGGCATATGATACAAAGAAAAGGAAATGGTACATATATTTGGGTGAATTCATATGTATCAACATACTTTATTATGTAATTCTATCCAATAAAGCTTGAGGGAAAGAGATGTATAGTTCAGTGACTTAGATAAAAAAATCTTAATGGAAACTTCAAATCCCTTTGCTTTAAGAAAATAGAAACACTGTTACTCTCAATGAAGCTTTTTAAACAAAACACTTTAAAGTATTGAAAAACAGATAATATGCAGGTGTGACTTTTCCATTGATAGCTATCTAGATTAATAAAAAATAAAGTTTGGATAGCTTTTGTTAAAAACGAGAAAGAGACAAGATTTGTCAGTCATTAAGTCAATTAACTCTTATGTTAATTGAGCCATAAATATCATACTGAGGCAATAAGTTAATCTCAAAATCAAGATGTCTTCATATTGTCTTCAGAGTTATTGACTATTTTCAAACAATTACAAAACAACACTTTAGACAATAAAACTTGTATTTCTTATTGAGATTTTTCTCTTTCTATTCTTTTCTTTTCAAATCAAATAAAAACATACATCTCCTTTGGCCCCACAGCTTTCTCCAGAAAGTGCTGGAGGTACATGTCTTCTATTTCTTCTTTTCTCATTTTCTTTCGAAACATTTTCAATTATGCCTCTGCTCTGCTATTTCAACAAAATTGCTGTTCTACTAGGTCAACAACAAACACTATCTCATTAAATCCAGTTGTCAGTTCTCAGACCTCAACTTACTTGGTCAAGTAAATACTTATTTCCAGCATTTGAAAAAATTGTCATCTTTTCTTCCTTGAAATTGCTATCAGCTTCAAGGTCACAACCATCTCCTGAATCTTACCACTCCACTTCCCAGCTTCCCAATCCATCCCAATGCCTTTGTTTGCTCCGTCTTTATCTCCCTAATTGAATATTAGAGTAACCTAGGAGCAGATCTTTAATCCCTTCTCTTTTTGACCTACCCTAACTCTCTTTATCTTTTTTAATATAAGGAAAACTTTATTTTTTCCCCTGACCAGTTTGTTTTTTAATTTCAACTTTTATTTTAGATTCAGAGGGCACATGTGCAGATTTGTTACATGGGTATATTGCATGATGCTGAGGTTTGGGGTACAACTGATCCTGTCACCCAGGTAGTGAGCATAGTACCCAATGTATACTTTTTCAGTCGTTGCTCTCCTCCCTCCCTCACCCCCTAGGACTCCCTAAAAACCTCATAAAAATTTACCTATCACTCAAACTGTGGTCATTTGGAGAAGTCTTGTAGCAATTATTTAGTCATTTTAGCGTCTTTTTCACATGATTTCTCAACTTTATTCCAAGATTTAAAAAAGACAAAATATATGTTTCCTTCAGTGTTAACAATTTAAACAAAAAGTTAAGATCTGAACTCCATTTTAATTATCTAGAATGAAAAAAAAAGTTTAAAATCTGAAACATAATTGGATGTTATTTACATAATTTGAGATGAATAATATGCATCCCAACATATATGACTGTTTTTTATCAGTTGTAATTATTATCACTTTCAAAATTAAATTCAAATTGTTCTGGTTTTAGCATGAGTGACCTCTTTGAATTGGCTTTTGTTTCTTTTAAATGTGACCCTGGAAGTTTTTGATACCTTTGTCTCTATCCTGTGTGACACCATATTCCATGTTTTTCTTGGACATTGCCCACTCCGAAACTGGAATCAGCTATTTCTGTGAGAGGTACTCACTGTCCTTAGTGGTATAAGTAATTAAAACCTCAATCTGGGTAATAAGGATGTTTATTGATACAAGGTTGGTCATACTATATGGGCCTCTGGAGTTGACTGAGCTAAGGAGATAGGTTGATGGCTAGATGAATAGATAGGTAGATAGATATGGATAGACAGTCAATGAATACACATTTTTAGAATGTATTATGCTTCATGAGATCTTACTAATACTTCCACTCAAATTTAGGGCCACAGGTCTTTTTGTATATTATCTGCTCTATTACATTTATATCTCCCTTCTTTTACACAGATAATTTAAGTTCTCTAGTGCACCAGAGGTAACAAATTTTGTATATTCTATAACCATTATTTTAATTTATCTAAAAGTATACACAACTTTATCAGAAAAACAATATACACATCACATATGCAATTACTGAGAAGAGTTTTTTTTTGCATATGCTTTTCCAATTTCCCTCAGGTTTAATAGTTGTGCTATATCTATATTGACTAAGCATAGAGTTATTGCATACTGTTCTTCATGTTTAACCTTTCTTCAATTATAATTCTATAGATAACTCTATGTTTAATTCTTACCACTCTTCTCATATTGATGCCTGTGTACCCATTTTGGTTGCCTGAAGACTATTTCCTAGTAGATTTCCCAGGAAGGCCCAATAATTCCCTGAATTCTTCCATGTTGATTATAGTTTGCTCATGCTGTTATACTGGTAAGTCATTTATCTTCTTATATTGAGTATATTAAATATGTTACTCTATTTTTCTGACAAAAGCATTGCTGGTGAAAGGTCTAATGACAATCTAATTTTCTATCCTATGTAAGTTACTTACTGTTTTTGTCTCAGTGCTCAAATGAGCTTTTGTTTTAATATATTAAGTTCAATACTTTATTAGAGTATGTCTTGAGTTTTGTCATTCTAGATCAAGATTCTTAGGTATTTAATGTGCTTTTTTTGGTATAAAAATGAACTTTTTTCGTTATGAATTTCCATTTTTTTAACTTCAGGAAAGTTTTTTTTAATACATTTTTTAGATCATCTTTGCCCAGCTTCAATACTTACTTTTTATTCAATTCTTGTCTCTTTATTTATTTTGATTTTTTAAATCGTCCTTTTTAATCTTCTAAATCACAGAAGGCATTTTTATTTTATGTTATATCTATTTACCTGTGTTTCTCCTGGTTGTCATTTATAAGGTGATTTTTCTTTTATTTCTGTTTTTTTTCCCCCAAGTTGTAGCACCTTATTTCTGTTTTCTTCTCATTCCCATTTATTTTGCTCTGTTATATATCATTTTTAAATGGCTTAAAACCCATCTTAAAATTTTTATTTTCTGTGTGGATATTATTTTACACCTAATTATCTCTTTATTTCTTTTTTTCTTTCTTTCTTTCTTTCTTTCTTTTTTTTTTTTTTTCTTTTTTTTTTTTTTTTGAGACAGAGTCTCACTCTGTTGCCCAGGCTAGAGTGCAGTGGTGTGATCTCCACTCACTGCAAACTCCACCTCTCGGATTCAGGCAATTCTTCTGCCTCAGCCTCCTGAGTAGCTGGAATTACAGGTGTGCACCACCACACCACGCTAATTTTTGTATTTTTAGTATAGATGGGGATTCACCATGTTGCCCAGGCTGGTCTCAAACACCTGGCCTCAAGGGATCCACCTGCCTGGGCCTCCCAAAGAATTAGGATTACAGATGTGAGCTACCACAACCGGCCTTAATTATCTTTTCTATAAAAATAATACACATGTTGGGATTTGACCTTGACAATTATCTGTTTCTTATTTTTATTTTTAAAAATGTGTTTTTCTTAAGTTTTTAAATGTCTTGGATCAGGGACTGTCCTACCTGCAGAGTTCCATTTTCTGTTGTTTTTTAATAGTCTAAGCAAATAGTAACTCACTTTCTCAGATTTTCTGGGTCTCCTACCTTTACTCCACTTTTGTCTGGACTTTTTCTTTTCTTTCTCTTTGTTGTTTATATTTCATTCTTATAACTTTTTCCTGTACTCTCAGCAATTTTTTCTCTGTGTGTTGTTCTGTCTTGGGAAGAATTTAGTCAGTTTGGGGAGATCTTAAAGGCTAGGCTTATCTAGTCCTTCAGTGCTTACTATGGAGCCCTTGCACCAATACACTATTTCATTGGGCAATGCTCCTCCCTCTCCTCTACCACCACCACCATTTCAACAACTGGTATCAAGATAACCCGCAGAGATGTCTACTGCTTTCAGGTCTGTCAGATGCATTATAGTTTCCCTTGGTTTCTGCCTCACCGATATGGATGCCATGCAAATTTTGTGCTTTTCATATATTCAACCTACTTATATATTTGAACTCATAGGAAAAACTTGCCACTTAGATTCATTGTAAACATTATCCATGAGTTTTTGTTTTTGCTAAATACTTTTAGTCTTTTTTTATGTGGGAATTCAAAGAATTTGAACCATTTTCATTGGTATTATTTAACAACCCTCCATAGTTAATGTTTCATCAAATACTTTAACATATTCTTTATTTGGAAAGTTTATCTGGACATCCAGTTTTCCATATTGCTAGATACAGAAGTTTTTTTTTTCCTTGGGAAGTAAATGTCCTGAAATTACTGATATATTAGAATTTTTCCTACTATCTAATCCTTAGGCTTTTTCTATATTTTTATTATACTTGTTTTCTGTCACCTGTTTGATAGATTTTTTTATTTTTATCTACTAGTTTGGAATTATACATTATCATTTTCATATTTTAGAAGTAATTCTAAAGATAGAGTATCATATCTCTTTAATTGCATGGCTGAGCTGGTAGAAAAATAAGAGAGTTTCAAAAGCCCAGAAAGATAAACAAGAATAGAAAACCCCTTTCCCACCCTGCCTCATCTATACAAATACAAAAGTTATATAATTTTTGTAACTTGAAATGTGTTTATTTTTTGACTTTTAAAATTGTAACTCACTGAATAGGCTTTTGTATAAGCTAGGTTAATTAAAATCTTAAAGAAATTCCCAAAATTCATAATCCAAAATCGTGGCATACCATTCATGAAATTTCAAAATGGATAGTCCAAATTGGCTAGCAGGTCTTCCAACCTTAACAAAAGCTTTCAAAATTTTCCCTGGTCATCCATTTCTAATAGACATATGGGAAAACAGATGGTAGAAAAGGTTTCTTCCAAATCACCTTGGGTTACACTTTATTTGTGCAAACCAGTCTTACGGCCAAAAATGGATATCAGGGGAAAGATGGTCCCTGATTACTCATCTACTTTATAAAAACACTGCACTTACAGAAGGGTACAGTCTTGAATCTGTATCAGGAAACACTCATGAACATTTTGATAAGTGTGTTAAGGTGATCATTATTAGACAAATATAGACAAATATCCCTGATGAAAAAAGATGTAAAAATTCTTAACAAAACACTACCAAACCAAATTCAACAACACATTTAAGAAATCACTCACCATGGTAAAGTGGGATTCATCCCAGTGATGCACGAATGTTTCATCATATGCAAATCAATAAATGTGTTATATCACATTAACAGAATGAAAGACAAAATCCATGATTACTTCAATCAGGCAGAAACAGCCTTAACAAAATTCAACATACTTTTATAATAAAAAACTTTCAACAGATTAGATACAAGAGAAACATACCTCAATAAAGGCCATACATGACAAACCCACAGCTAACATCAGATTCAATGGGAAAAAGTTGAAAATTTTTCCTCTAAGATCTGGAACAAGGCAAAGATGCCCATTCTTATCACATCTATTTATCTTAGTACTTGAGGTCCTCGCCAAAGAAATTAGGCAAGAAAAAAAGGCATCCAAATTGGAAAGAAAGAAATTAAATTATTCTTGTTTGCAGATGATGTAATTTTACATGTAGAAAAACCTAAAGACTCCATCAAAAACTTAGAACTAATAAATGAATTTAGGAAAGTTGCAGGACACAACTCAACATACAAAAATCAGTAGCATTTCCACACATTAACAACAAATTATCTGAAAAAAGAATCAAGAAATCAATCCAATTTACAGTAGTTAACAAATGTAAAACACTTGGGAATAAATTTCTAAGGAGGTGAAAGATCTCTTCACTAAAAACCAGAAAACACCAATGAAAGACACTGAAAAGACACAAATAAATAGGGAGATATGTATTAATATATTAAAATAATTAATATTATTAAAATGTCCTACTACCCAAAGAGATCTACAGATTCAATGCAATTTCTGCCAAAATAGCAATGTTTTTTAACAGAATTAGAAGAAAACAATCCTAAAATTCATGCAGAACAACAAAAGACCCCCAAATGCCAAATAATCTTGAATAAAATAACAAATCTGGAAGCTTCACTTTACCTGTCTTCAAAATATACTACAAAGCTATAGAAATCAAAACAGTATGGCAGTGGCATCAAACAGACACAGAGATCAATGGAAGATAACAGAGAGCTGAGAAATAAATTCGTGCATTTACAGTTAACTGATTTCCAACAAAGCCTCCTAGAACACACAATGAGGAAAGGACAGACACTTCAATAAATGGTGTTAGAAAAACTGGATATCTGTATTCAGAAGAATGAAATTAGACTCTTAACTCTCATGATACACAAAGATCACTCAAAATGGATTAAAAACTTAATTGTAAGACCCAAAGCTATAGAACTTCTAGAAGAAAGCATATGGATGAAGTTCCATGATATTAGCTCGGGCAATAATTTTTTGGACATGACAATATCGGCATAGGCAAGAAAAGTATGCATAGACAGATGAAGTTACATCAAACTAAAACTCTTCTGCACAGAAACAAAAATCAATATAGGGAAGAGAAAAAAATTGCAAACTACACATCTGATAAGGGGTAGTATTCAAAATATATAAGGGACTTAAGTAACTCAATAGCAAGAGAACAAATAACCCAAGTAAAAGATTGACAGAGGTCCTGAATAGACATTTCTCTACAGAGGACATGAAGATGGTCAACAAGGAAATGAAAAAATGCTCAGTATTACTAATCATCAGGGAAATGAAAATTAACACTACATACATGCTTATTATAATGGGTATTATAAAAAATACAAAATATAATGAGTATTGATGAGGATGTGGCAAGAAGAGAACATTTTTTGTTCCACTTTTGGTGGAAATATAATGTGGTGCAGCCATTATGGCAACAGAATGGAGGTTCCTTAAAAAATTAACAATAAATCTTCCACATGATCCAGCCATTCCACTACTGAATACATGTGCAAAGCAAATGAAATGAGTATGTCAAAGAGATATCTGCATTCCTTTGTTTATTATAGCATTACTCACAACTGCCATGATATGGAATCGACCTAAATGTCCATCAATAAATGAATGGATGGATAAAAAAAATCTGGTATATATACACTATTCAGCCCTAAAACAGAAGGTAATTTTGTAATATGGGACAATATGAACGGACCTGAAGAATGCTATGTTAAGTGAAATAAATTAGGCACAGAAAGACAACTATCAAATGATTTTATTCATATGTAGAACCTAACAAAGTTTATCTCACGTTTGTTATCAGGGGCTGAAATGGTTAGGGAAGGGAGGCTGGTATATCTTGCTCAAAGGATTCAAAATTTCAGATAGGAGAAAGAGGTTTAAGAGGTCTATTGTATAACTTGGTAACTATATTAAACAATATATTGTATTCTTGAAAAACCCTAAAAGAATGGATGTAAGGTTTTTTTTCTCCACAAAAAAGATAACTGTGAGGTAATACATATGTTAACTGGCTAGATTTATTTATTCCCCACAATGTGTCTTACTCCAGAAGAATATGTTCTACATGGTAAATATATACAATTATATCTGTCAATTAAAAAACTAAATTAGAAAATTGAAGAGTGATCATTACTAGAGATGAAAGCACATTAGACTAAAATGTTGTTGATTTATTCTCAGTTTAATCAGTAGATGAAAGTCTCTGAAGTATCTTTTTCTTTCTTTAATCTTAAAAATATATCCAAAAATATATATATACTTGTCAAAATAACTAAACGAGTCTAGCCTAGCTGGCCTATCATTGAGGTGACATTAGTAGAATGTCTGGCTCCTCCACTTACTAGTTTTGTTTTCTTGGACAAGTTATTTAATCTCCCTTTTCTTCACTTTTTTATGGTGATATAAATAGTACCTAACTCACAGAGTAACTCAAAGAGTAATTAAATTAATTATTAAATTTATTTAATGATAAAATTTATTTTTAGGCGTGCAGAAAGGAGACTGGCACATAGAAAGAATATTGATTGTTCTCATTTTATTATTTATATTATTGTTGCACATACCCTAGTTACATGTGGAAGTGATTGTTAAGGATTAAATGAGATAGCGTTTATGAAATATTTTGAAAATAATAAATTTACATGGAAATTCAAGCTATTTTCATGACTAAACAGTGCTTTTTAGCTTTGGCAAACAGAGCCTGAATTTTCCATTCAATCACTCTTTTTAAAATGATTCTTTTAATTTGTGTCTATGGATGCATCTGTTTTAAAAAGCTAATTTTAGACAAGGCTCTTTCCCCTATGGGCATCAAATAGTATGAGCCTGTTTCTTTTTGCAAATTTCACTAAACACTTGAATCTAGTTAAGTCTCAGAGTGAAACAATGACAGAAAGCACTGACCTAAAACCTGCACATTTCCTCTGTAGATTATCTGTTGCAAGAATGATTTCTGTGATCTTTTGAAACAGACCATGTGGTACATAGTAAACTATAGAATCTCAAAATAGTATTTCTTTCATCATTTGCATGATAGTTTTGAAGAAAATATATACTGGGGAGCCAAAGCATACTTGTGTGTCTTCAGACATAACAACTACCGAGTGCAAAGTGTAGCTAATAGAATTCAACCAAAACGATGACACAACCCCGAAGGAGTAGACAGACATAGTGTTTATCATAATTTACACCCAACCTTGGCAAGCAATTTTTTAAAATTAAAGAAGATATAACTAACTGCCAAATGAAATAGTCTGTGTGATTCATCTTGGTGGTGTGGTAAGTGGTTTTCTGATTGAAAATCTATGGAAAACAAATATATCTTTATATTCCCCAGGAAATTAGGCAGTCAAATGTTTTATTATCTTCTCAAATTGTATTACGAAAAAAATTCCAGGAATTGGAGATTTGTGGGATGCATGAGTTTTGGTATTTCATTAAAAATCATGTAAACCTCTAAAATAGAGTTCTCAGTTTAAAAAAATTATCTTCAAAATGCTGTTAATACCATATGCTTATTTTCAGTACCTTCTAAATGGAAGTATTTTCTTTATACAGAGATGGCTCTGTTTTTAGTATGTTCTCCCAAATGCCTATTTCTTAGAGAAGTTAGAACTCAGAATACAGCCCACTTCTGAACCAGACTAAATCATTTCCCTTCATATTTTTAAGATGGATCTCGAGTTCAGAAAGATTAATTACCATGTGTATGAAATAATGCCTTGGCATATTGTACTCAAAAGCTATCTTGTTCAATGCATGGATTAATTAATATTACCCAATACATTCATAATTGGCGTGGAATACATTTTTGTTCTTGATCCTTCTGTTGTTTAAAGACCTAATGCTAAGTCTCTAGCCTTTTGCCATGATGTAATATATTTTGAATAGAGGTGTAAAGCTATTCTTTGTGAACAGTGATCTTCATATCTTGGTTTGTGCTGTCAGCATGAATTGTAGAGACATAATTGTAGATACAGCATTTTGGTGCTATGGGTTTTTTATCTACTTTATGTTTTCCACCATTGTTAACAAATAGCATTTTTCACATTTGTTATTTCATTTGAACTTTCAGATAACTTTGTGAGAGGTATACAGAACAGCTATTATGAGAAAACAGAATTTGTGGGGTTACAAAACCTGGTAGGAATTTAGGAATGCATTTTCAAATACTCTCAAAGTTTCTTTTTCTCTTTTATTCTTTGAAAAAGCAGAAAGATATTTTATATAGAAGTATATTATACTTGTATATGTGTAGATAAGGTGTGGACATTAAGAATGTGCAAATCCCAGCCTGGCCAACAATGATGAAACCCCCGTCGCTACTAAAAATACAAAATTTAGCCAGGTGTGGTGGCCTGTAATCCCAGCTATAAGGCATAAGAATATTTTGAACCTGGGAGGCAGACATTGCAGTGAGCCAAGATCGTGCCACTGCACTCCAGCCTGGGCGACAAGGGTGAGACTCCGTCTCAAAAACAAACAAACAAAAAACAAACAAAAAAAGTGCAAATCCTTTTTATAATGAGCTATTTGCCACAAGTAGTCAATATGTCCAACATGTTTATAAGCCTCTTATAGGACCTTATTTATGACAATCTACATGGTCTACCAGGATATATCATAATTCGAGAGAACCGAGAAACACTATTGATAATGAAAGTTCTGGAAGTTTTGGAAGAGAGGACTAGCTTTGCCCAAAGTGTGAAGACAAAACATATTTCTCCAGTTTATCTCCAGTGATTTGTGTCTCAGTGCCTTTGGAGAAAATTTGTTAGAAAATAAAACAAAACAAAAAGAAAACAAAATCTAATGTAACTATTGTCACCCAAGAGTCTTCTTGAAAACGATTATTTCCCTTTCATGAGGCAACAACCATGATAGCATCCGGGAACCTGGTAGTAGCAATGCCATCAAGAGTGGCTGGACACATCCAGGGATTCCTGGTGAGCTACTGGGCACTACTAGGGCAACATTTAACCAAGGGCAACATTTAACAGCAGACTGGAGGTGACTTAGCACACAGAAAGATCCTTTTCTTGGTTTTATGTTTAGGGAATTTCTTGCTGATTAGTAGAAGCACCAGAGGCCACAGGGTTTGAGAAAACTTGTCCATGGGACACAGGAAACATCTACAAAGTAAGTGAAAATAATTTTGAAGAGAGTTTTAAGTCTTACACTGAAAGGCATAGGCTAGAGCCAGCTGACTCAGGTAATTATTAATAAAATTTAGCCTTATTTTGTCTCTTACTGCAGTAGCATAAAGGTAGTGAAGTTCAGTATATCCTAAATAAAATAGATAAGAACCACTTCAAAAATAAATTACAAAGCACTTTTTCATGCTTTCCTCTATTTAATCATATAAAATTACAACATAGAGGACAATTATCTTACTAAATTTTAAAAGGTAAAAAATCAAGCTTTTGGGAGCATACTGACATAGTTGACACATAAGTGGTAAATAATGAAGCATGGATTTAAAACAAGAATTGAAGCCAGAAAACTTCATTTCTCATTCTTAATTTACTACTTTTCCAATTTTGTAAACTCTACTCCATCAAAAATCATGAGCTTAGTGTAAGCAATTTTCTATTTTTTATCAAGATGTAATTTTTATACAACTCAGTTTTAAAAACAATAGAGTAATTAAGCACATTTAGTGTACAAAACTCAATTTTTGAAATTCATAAAAACCACAGTTATTTTCATTATAAACATCATGTATTCTTATACAAAGATTCCAAACCATATGGGAAGATTGTAAATTAAAAAGTAAGAGGTCCAAAGCACCACAAACTTCAGAAAGAACTTTAACAGTCTATTGTGGATTCGTGCAAAATGTGTTTTATGAACAGATAATTGTATTTTTAACACATTATCAATCAAACATTGTGTTAAATTTTTTTCTATGTAACAATTTAACAAATAATCATGGGCCTATTTCCATATGCATATTTATTGATGCATGTTTATGTAAATATTTTTCTACTTTAGAGAATGTTGCATTCAAAATTGCTCTATATGATTTCCATGGAAGTATAATCAATCATAGAATAAACTCCCCAAGGTAGAATTTTTGGATCCAAGGGAATGTGTGTTTTAAATTTTGATAGTTATTGACAAAATTCACTCCAATTACGTTTAAATATCATCCACAGAATATGAGAGTATTTTTTTCCTTAAAACAGCTTGTGTGTATATGTGTATATATACATATATATGTACATGCATATAATTATATACATACATAAAATTAATATTTTATTAATATAATATGAATGTATTTAATGGTAAGTCAAGTCAAACAAATAGAGCATCTTTTGATAATATTTTGGCCATTCATCCTTTTCCCTGTGAAGTACATGGTATAATCCTTGAACAAACACACCCCTACCCTATTTATTTAGAATGGCTATTTTTGTTTTTATATTTATGAGTTTTGGGTTATATAATAAACGTTTTGTGTGTATTATTTGTTTCAAATAACAATCCTAATTTTCTTTAAACATTGTGAAGATGAAGTACTATTGCTTTAATTTATCCACATATTTAAAAATAATAAAGTCGACTTTATATTTGGTAGTCTACTTTTTATTGTCTACTTTTTATTCAGTAGCTTCTGAGTCTCTAGAGACACATTTACTCCTCTAAGTATTACAAAAAATACAATAGAATCCTTGTGTCTTTCCAGTATTTTATAGTTTATGTTTAAATCTTTGGTCTATCTGAAATTTTACTTTTCAGTAAAATAATAATAATAATAATAATAATAAAGTAGGGTATACAACTTTTCTCCTAATGTTCTCTCAATATATTATATCTTTGCAACTTCTCCATGAGTGGGACAAACCAAACAGTTGCGTTTTTCAAGTAGTAATCATCTAGTTGGAAGTACCAAAGCTCATAATTTCATTTATGTAACTCACTCAGAAAATTTACTCCAATTTTACATTTTTGTCATGTGAAACTGACAACCAAACCTTTGCTTAATAGGCTTTTTTCACTGAAATAGCACCATCATTTTTATATCTAGTTTATTTTCATATTTTTATTTTTATTTTTTGTTTTATGTTTGATTAATAACTATATGTATGTATTATACAGTGCAGTGTGATATTTTGATACATATATACATTGTTTTTAACTCTTGATCTGACATCACTACATCATTGAAATGTAAATTTCATTCATCCTTCTTCTGCTTTTATCTTTTCTTGCTAATTGTTGTTTTAATCTGATTCATTCCTTAGAAAGCACTTTTAGAAGTTCTAAGATTCCTCATCTTCATAATACTGAAAAACGTGTGCATTTAGAGAATGGAAATGATTTAAAGCTAGAAATAAATGCAGATATGTACCTATACAATATAGTCACATAGTATGTAAAAATGATTCTTACAGCTTTTTAGGCGTAGGCTGAACGAAAATACGTATTTGTGAACTTCATAATTCTAGGCCTGCTGGGCCCTATCACCTGGACCTACATGGCAGGATGTGAACTGAGGCTCAGGTGATTTAACTTATTTCATTTTTCCCTTTCTCACCCATCATTGTGCCACAAATGATTTACTGGGCTCTCAGGAAGACTTCCTTTGGTGAGATAGAGGTGTCATAAATTATAACACTGCCTCTGTCATTTACTGTAACAATCTTTTCCTCATCCTAGAGAACAGAATGACTTCTTGACTTTCTCACAAATTTTTCACAAATCCAGTAAATAAGTGGGCAATCAGAAGGGCTGTAAAGACTTGCAACTCAAAATGCTCAGACTCACTTAAAGACTACACATACAGGAAGTTTAAAAGCAGGAACCACATCCCAGTCTGTGGTTCACCTGTTCTCTATAAAAACACAAGCTGTGGTGCCTATTTGAAAGCTGGGCAACTGTAGCTGACCTTGAAGTGCATTGTACTTTTTAGTACAATGAGGTGGGTTTTTTTTTTTTACATACAAGGCTGATGGAAAGAACATTTATTATAGCCAGATAAGAAGTAATCCGTTGGCTGTGATTCAGATGGATTTGAAAAGTATGATTTTCTTGGAATAAAAATGAATCCCTTAACTGTTTTCTCCTGCCACTACCACAGCACTAACAGTGATTTACAGCAGCATGTTGCCTAATGTTCCATCTGCATATTATTTGGAAGGGAAAAATTATGGTAATGCAATGTGCAAATGAGTAAAAGCAGAATTTGTTTGCTTTCTTTCCTGCCTACACAATAGTCAAGGTTTTCTTATGTGTAATTCACAGAATCTGTTTGGTTAGTGTATAAGTTATGTTTCACTGTGAGTTCCAGTGTCTTTCAGAATCAGGCCACTTAGGAAATTTTTAAGTTATGTATTTTAGGTAAAACATCAGGAGCAAGCATTTAAGGTAGGTAAAATGAATGGCAGTTTATTAACTATTCTGTCAGAACAGTCAAAGGCTCTTATATTCTAGACAGTGAATGCGGGGAAAAGTCTTGTGATTATGTCCATTTAGATTGTAGTAAGAAAAGAAGGTAATTCTCTAAGTTAGTAGATTTTAGCCTCTGAAGAATTTGGATAGGATAGAAGTAGAGCAAAGAGGGTGGGGTTGTTTCTTCAATATCTAACTCTTCAATTAGATAGGTTCCTCTTTTCTCTCTTTTATGTATTGGAAACAACTTTTGTGTATATTTATCTGTCTTTCCTTTAAAAAGTGTAAAAGCTATTATTGTAGATGCAATAACTAAAATCATAGATCAAGCATAGAGGTGAAGTCAGCTTGCATTAGGATTTTTAAAGAAATACCAGCCTCAGAATGTGAGGGTCAGGTCTGTACAGGATGCACCCTCTTAAGTTAATGCCACCAATAAAGAGAAAATATTCATCAGCATAATACAATCCCCATGTTTACTTGGAGATACAATTATGAATCATTTGAAATTTAGTCCTGAAAGTGGCAGTTTTTCTGATGCAACAAAGAAACAATGCTAGATGAAAAGAAGTTGAATTCTACTCATGTCTTTGTATCCCATTTTTTATGATGAAAATAATATTGTGGGCGGGCTGGATAATAATCAGTGCTTTATATTTAATAAGTTATTTTCGTAAAGTCTTTTATAAATAATTATTTACTTCGTGTCTTCTTGTAAGATTAGTAAATAATATAGGGAAAAGGTAAATTAGATTTTATGTGTTTGAAAAATAGAATTCCATTGAGAGAGAATGTATCTGGTAACCTCATTCGGCTGTACTCCCTTAATTAGCAGCCAATTTCAGAATTATTTATATTTTAGCTCTGGATACAGCCTGTTATAATCAAACAATTTTTGTGCCAAGTGTTCTGCTGCCTGATAAAGACTTCACTTGTGAGAGAGCCCACTGGCTTGCTGGAAAGGGGATATGACACTTCAATATTTCTGCAAAGTCTTCAGTAATTGATGTACAATGTTGCATATATGTGCTGTCTACATGGCCTCATTTCATATACGATGCAAAGGCAAAACGTATAACTACCATATAGAAACTAGAATTATTGGCACACAATCACATTTATTGTCTTTAATTTAAGGAAAAGTGATTTTGGCTTGCAAAGTAACTAGAAATTACAAAGTGTTGACATTAGTTGTATTTTAGCAGAAAAGTTGGCAGTTTATTCACTCAGAGTTTTCTGAGGTATTGCTGATTTTCTTTATTTTTTCCTAAGAAAGAGTCCATTTGATTTTTTTGTTCTTGTGGATTCAGTTAGTCCTGCAGCTCTGTGAAATCCATCTAAACTTACTGGCTACGTTATGAAAAAAAAAAGAAGTAAATAACACTGCCTCATCCCAGTTCTCCATTCCAGTGTATTACCCTTTTACAGATACGCCAAGGTATTGGGAAAGCGTGGCGTTGTCTGGCGAAGCCTTCTGGAGCCAGGAACATGTCAGGGAACGTAATCAATGGTTGATCTAGGGATACATGAGTCCTGGCTCATCTGCCTGATACATCAATGTGTAAAGGCTATTTCTTGCATTTGGCTTTATAATATATGAATAAATTGTAAATAGCTTTTCTTTCTCAGATCTGCATGTTTAACATTAAAACAGCTGATATCATATCTAGAGAATATCATCATTTGTACATTTAGAATTTAGACTATACTGTGTATTGTTTGAGATTTTTAATAATAAAATTGTAAACAAATTGTATTTTTTGTGAAGAAAAAACCACTGATCACTGTATTGTAATGATTCTATCATTATCATTAGTAGTAGTAGCAGGAGTAAAATTTTACTGGTGAATCAAAATGGAAATTTATAAATCAAATTACTTAATAACAACAGGCATTTTCAAGTTTATGACTATTGTAAAAAGAGTCACAACATGTTATCCCATCTGACACATATCAAGATTACAACATACATTTCAAAATATTCCCAAGTCAATCAAATGTTTTCCCAAGGCTTTGTGTGCTTTATCTCCTTGTGTTTTTTTTTTTTTCCGATAGGTAATCAGCAGGACAAAATGTCTATTAGACAAGACAGAAGACAAGGTTCTAAAAATATGAAATGATAGCAATAACAATGTTACATAGTGATTCTTCATTTTCTAACACTATTTCACGTTTTACACATTTTATCTAATTTAATCCCCCAAGTAATATTATAAATTAGGTACTATTATTTTCATGCCAGTTTTACACATGATGAAACCAACACAGAGACATTTGTATACAATACCTACATTCAAAGAGTTAGTAAGCAGTCTGATTTTAGAGTTTATAAATTACTGATGTAGCTATGCCACCTTGAGAATCAAAGATAACATATAAAGAACAGAACATATTTCAAGGTTCATGTCTTGGACTGAAGTGACACTGAGATGCCTTTAACATTTTCTTCCTATCAGCAATCTCAGATTCTCCCAACCCCTATTTCCATAGTAGATCTCAATCTCTCAGTCACATCAGCAGCTTTAATGATGTAGAGTATGTTTCATTGACTCCACCTTTTTCCTCAACCTTTTCTTCAGAATAGAAAAGTATTTTTTAGTCAATGTTATAAATTAGAGTGGTAATCGAGTGTAACTTTATACTGCATGCTTGTATCCCTTAAGCTATGGCAGGAGGGGGTATGATACCCAGGGTTTCATAGTCTAAACCACAACAAACATATCTGAAATATACCCTTGTGGGAAACTCAGCTTACATTCTAACTTTTGCAAGTTAACTTTTGTTAACTGATTAATGGGCAGAAAATAGAAAAAGTGGAGTAGTTGTATTACTTAATGATGTCACATTAATCGTGTCCCTGTATCTGTTTCCTGGGGAATAGAAATTCAGTTTGACCCCATTCAAAAGTAACTATTCACACCAAAGAGAATAGAAGTTTTTTTTCTCTCCGTAACTGCAGTGTGGTTAAGAATACAGATTATTGCAAAACAGTCAAATAACAGACAGGCTGAGTCTTCCAAACTCAGCTTGCATACTTCTCTAGTGAATAAATGAAATAGGCATCCAGGAATTGACAAGTCATACTGAAACAAATTAAAGCCTCTTTAAAATTTGAATATAGAGGCTTTCCTTTGTGTTATTGTGACTTTCCAATTCTTGGATAAGTGTATATATACACAAACACTTTTAGCAATTGCTTTAGCAAAACTTGAGGACCACATGAAAATATTAAAAAGGCCCTTGGGACAAAGAGTGATAATTCTCGGCACATCTGGCATGGAGGAGAAAATGTGTCATACACAGAAATGAAGGGGAGTTGGAGGCTGATGTAAGAACATCTTACTCTATCTTAGTGTGTTTTTTTGTATTTGAATTTTGTTATGTACTTTGGAGAACACAAAATGTAATCTGTGGTCATTTAAGTCAAAACTTAAACAATACTTGATTTGTACTAAGTTAAGAAACATATCCTTTGTAAAACTGATCTATTCTAAGTCACAAAAGCAAAGATCTCTTGCTAGTTAAAGAAAACTAAATATGTGTTATATTGACAGTATAATTAACATAGTTATAGATTTGTATAAAGTTATTTTATAAGCTGCTTCCAGATTGCTCAGTTTATATCAATAATCTAAGTTATCAATGACTATTTTGTAACAGTTGGTATGTAAGACATTTCTCTCAGTGTGACTTTTTGTTACTGTGAAGATAATACTTGAAGATACTGATGATGTATGCCATCAATACAATATTAACAAAAAGTTTTGTCATAAAATCTCATTTGCTTATGTAATAAATTAAATATATGAACAATTATAGTTATGAATAAATTCACATAATTTTCAAATTCAGGTCCTCAGAAAGGACATCTACAATGTGAGCCGGAATATCAATAATGCTTTGAGAAATTCTAAAGCAATGCAAAGGTAGTCCATGCATCGATTATACTTTCAGGCAATAAGTAAAGGAGATAGGGGTATGAGATGTGTGTCAATTATTGTTCATGTGTTGTTGTTTCTAAATAATCTATATTGAAAACTCATATGATTGTTATTGTAAAATGAAGATAGATTATTTAGAAATTAAAAAAATAATAATTGACACACTTCTCATGTTCCTAACTCCTTTACTTGTTGCATGAAAGTGTAATTGATGTATGGATTGCCTTTGCATTGCTTTAAATCTTAGGCTTTAGAGAATTTACTATGGTATTGCTGTGTTTTTTACACACCAGACTGATGCTTAAAGAAAGCAGGAATCTCCATGACAACATATGTAAAATTATTCCTAATATTAAAATTTATTTTCAAAAATGCTTATAAAAATCATAGCAGAAGTTGCTTTCTCTCAATATTGAGCATCACATCAAATCCAATTTTTTAATATACATAGATCTGCATGTATAATATACCACCACACAGGTTTATTTCATGGTTACAATTATTATGGAATAGCATGGCTTTCCACTTCAGTATGTACTAAATATTTTATATATATAATATCATATTATAAATGCTATATTATAAAATGTTATATATATGATAGTATATATATTTACATATAAAAATTTAGTACATACTGAAGTGGAAAGCCATGCTATCCCACAATAATTGTAGCTATGAAATAAACCTGTGTAGTGGTATGTTATACGTACAGATCTATCTACATATATTTATAAATAGATAGCTATCTATATCTATCTATATATGTGTGTGTGTATGTCTTGTTACTAAGTTTATCACTAAGTATGATGTAATATACTGTTTTGCCAAACATTCAATTTTTTAAATACTCAATTGAGGAAAATATGAGTTATTTTATCCCCCATTTTAGCTAAACATTTGGAAGCAAATCAGTCTGGATAGAATTCTGTACAACATGTTTCTGATGACCTAGAAGTTTAATGTTTGGACGGTAATTTTTCTGTAGTTACATTAGCTTTAAGGTTGGCACACTGAGATTTTTGAATATCGATGGAAGGAACTACTTTTATAGATACTTGTCTCTGTGCTCATATGAAGAATCAGTTCAGTAGTGTATGAGAGCAAGCCACTGGACGGATAAAAAGGATAAATAATTATAGGGGTGCAGGACTATTATAAGAAGATTATGTAAGTAAAAGATGAAGCAGTCTAATGGGGGGAAACAACCCAGACTTAATTCATAACATAAAATGTTAGCTATTAATAACAACAAGAATTACTATTTAAAAACAGATGCAAGACTCAGCCTTAAAATAAGCAACAATAATTATATTGCTATTTACAAAGTATATATACTTGATTGTCATTAGAAATTTTGCTCACCTTAGCAGGAAAGTACTATATATATATATATATATATATAGGTTTTTTCTATAAATAATTTAGACTCTCTGAGTAGATATTTCATTAATAAAATTTCTTCTTCTATTTTAAATTAAAAACCTCAAAATTAATTGAGAATACAAACACAACTTCTGGGAACAGAATTAGAGCCATAAGTATTGCTCTATATTCTAGATACATTTGTAATTTACTAAGCACATATACAAACATACATGCACCAACTTTACAATGCGGCAAGTCATTGACCAAATATTTCTAAATATAGATTATCTTTTCAAGCATCAGATTTAATTTAAATGTAACCACATCTATCCTTAAAGTACATGTTTATTCTAAAGTAGATTCTGACTCTCAGAGAACTTTCTGTATCAAATGCATGCATAGGTAACACATTGTGAAAGAATAGACTTGCCTTTTAAGGAGAAACCAAAATCCAGAATGCTGTGTCTACTGTATTGCTTATAATTCAGAAAGCATGCTAAAAACCTATAAGTAAAACCAAAACCTAGATTATCCTACTGAGGAAGAACTGGATAGTTACAAACAATCAGAAATATACATACCATATGAATATCAAATTGATGTTCAGAGACGACAATACAAGTATAAGAAATGATGTGATTCTACTTAGTCATAATTAAAAACACTGCAGAAATCATCCATAAAAGGTTTGCGGTAACATGAGATGTCTCGCTTGCAAAACTATCATAATTTAGGTTTGGCATTTGGCCTTGTGTAGGTCACCAAGTCTGTTCTAGGTTGTTATTGCACACTGTAAGTACTGAGTTGCAGCAATGATAGAAGCCAGTTTCCATATTAGTGCTAATTGACCATTGGCTTGGGATGTACCCTGGATCCCATAAAAAGTGACCTTATATGGACCACTGGATTTGTATCATGAAAAGATTTTACTTTCTTTTGCTGATCTCATCAGCTTCAGCATGCACACACACACACACATACACAAAACAGGCAGCTTGCCAAAACACTCTAAAATAATACCCCTAATTAAAGTAAGTCACCTTTATCATTTAATATACAAACTTTATTTTATAAGGTCTATCAAAAAGAGATTGTATTTTAAATATCAAAGTGAATTTTCTTATTTTGAGCTCAGATGGTATTTTGGGATTTTATTTTGGCATTGTAGAAGGTATGGAATGTGTGTGTTTGATCTTTTTATATCTTTGGATCTTTGGATAATTTACAGTTATTGACATTGACAAACCCCAAAATCATGTGAAAATATCAACTTTGGGACTAAGCTAATTCAGTTTGGTCTCATTTTCATTTGTACTTTTTAAATGCACTCTAATGTATTATTCCCAATCTTGAACTTAAATCTACATTAAAATGTTGAGTTTCATTTCTTTAAGTTATATACTATAAGAATGTAGTGGTATAGATATATATTTTTATATCTAATGATGACTCTGAAATGACTCGCTGCTACTCCAAATCAGATGTCTTATGGAATCTTCTTTTTCATACATATGTTGTATATTAAATGACAAATTTCTAAACATGATTTAGATTCAAGTCATGTATTAACATGCTCTGTGTTATTGTACAATGGACTTTCTGTTAAATCTGCATTTGGCACTACATTATCTATATAGCATTGTCTTGAGGTAAAGATTGACTCTAATGGCAGGTACTTTTTCGATTCCATGATCATGTAAAGGTTAGATGATTTTTTGTTTTAATCAGATAGCAGAAATTACTGTCTGTTACTTATAATTACTTCCCATACTTTACAAGTGATAACTAAATTTTAAAAACTATTTTAAATTAAATATTGCCAGCAGATCTTGAGAACCTAAATAAAAAAGCATTTGCTATGAAATGAAACCCTGTCTCTACAAAAAAATTAGCCAGGCGTGGCGGCATGTGCACCTGTAGTACCAGCTACTCAGAAGGCTGAGGCAGGAGAATTGCTTGAACCCAGGAGGTGGAGGTTGCAGTGAGCTGAGATTGCACCACTGCACTCCAACCTGGGTGACAGAGCGAGACTCCATCTCAAAAAAAAAAAATGTCTATTTTAATACTTAAAAATTACTTTAAAAGATAATGATAACAAGTACTTGAAAGATATGTCTAAGACAGTGTTTCTCAAATTTTATTCTACTTTAAATTTTGTTTATATATGTAAATCATATCTGAACAAAACACTTCTCATTATTTTCATGAATGATCAAAAATGTGAAAGTGTGAAGTGGGAGGATGTTTCCTTGAGATGGACATGTAAAAATACCAAAGCAAAATTATAAGTCACTACTCCTCTCCAAAAGGATGATAATACAAAACATTACAGTGCCATTATTTTTCCTGGCCCTGACCTTGAAATAATCTATTCATGAGGAGTATTCAAAGTGTTAAGTAAGTATATCCAATGTGATAAGCAAAAACTGTATTTCTGACTCAGATTAGCCAATTATCAAGAAATTATAATTTATAAGTATGCCTCAAATATTATCAGAAGTATTGATGCAAGATTTTTCTCAGCCACTTTGCTGACCAGGGGCCTTCACAGCCAGCAATGGCCACTTTGCCTGGGCCTCACTCAGCCTCAGGCCTCTGCTGGAGGCACCCACCCACTTGGCCTGCCTGTGTCAAGCCTGGATTGTGCACTGGCTCACCCATGGCTGGGCCAGGCATGCTCCAGCTCACCTGTGTCTTAGCTTCTACCTGCCTTCTGTGGTTTCTGAGCTCTTGTCCTGTGTTGAAAAAGAATGAGGTTAAGCTGACAATTCGAAGGGTCAGGAGAGTGGAGAATAATTTTATTGAGTGATGAAACAGCTCTCAGCGGAGAGGGCATGTGGGGAGTGGTCCCCTACCCCACAGTCAGTTGGTTTCTCTCTCAATGTGGCTGAGTCCAGGGCTTTTATGGGCTCAGAATAGGGGAGTGCATACAGATTGGTTTGTGAGTATGCAAAGAAAGGCTAAAGCAAAGGCACCACTCAAAGGTGGGTGCAGTAGTATAGAAAAACAATTAGTAAAGCGTAGGTATATGCAAAATAGGTGAAGGGTGAGAATCAATCAGAGAAAAGCATGCCAAATGGGAAGACAGGTTCTTAATCTGGTCTGTGGATTTGACTTGTAGCTTGGCTTTCAGGCTTGTCTTCAGCTTATAGGTGGGATTTCACCCTATCTGCCTAGGGATTTGTCTGCCTCCTGCTATCAGTATTCCAGTTCTGGGTATGATAGAGTAAGCACACTCAACCCTGTCATTCTGACTCAATGAAGCTAAAAATCCTAAACATAAAAAATATATGTGGGCTCCAAAAAGTAAATAGCAGAGTATCTGGGGTGGAAAACCACAGTTGGAGGTAACACTAAATCAATAGTGAAGTCACCTATATATTTTTTTCTCCAGGATTTGTTGGCCTGGAATCAAGGAAGCCTACAATGGAAGGGGGCATTGGCACATGTAGAGCATGCTTCAGGAGTTGCTGTCTAGTTCAGGCCTGAGGAGAGATAAAGAGGTTTCCTAGAAGCCATAACAAGGCAGCAGGAACTGTGGGAGGTGGACATTCTTCTGATTGGAGAAGCTATAATCTTAAGTATTTATGGTAATGTTCTGTTAATCTTTTCTATTTCTGTCCACCTGACATTGGCCGTAAATGCAGGCAAAATGACAAGGAATGTACAGCAGTACACAGTGTATAAAATCCCAGCATTCTGGATAGAAGATTATAAAGGTGACTTTCCGGACATTAGAAGGTAGTAAGGATATCACAGAGAGAAAGGAACTTGAGAAAACCAATCTATAAAAATAGTTTAAAAGTCCTGGGATTACCCCCTCTTGGCCCCAAGGTATGCACACATGTCTTAAACAGCAAACCAAAAGCCTTGAGAATTAAATTAAGAGACAGATAATCACCCAGTTCCCAGACAATTCCAGCGTCTAGCACACACTGGAAATAGAAAACAAAATTATACTGAAAACACAATTCAGATAGTTGGTTGGAAATTGTGCCATAAATCCAGCCAAAGTTATTGTCTATAAAGAAAAGGTTAAAAATCCACTGATTTTTTAAGAAGAGGTAAGTCTCATAACACAATATTCAAAACTTTCAAGATACATTAAAAATTATTCATTATACAAAAAACAAGGAAAATATCAACAAAGATATGATATAATAATCAATGTATATCAATGATGAGATGGCACACATGTTGGAACTATCTGACAAGATTCTAAAATAGCTATTAAAAACATTCCAACAAATAATAAAAGTGGACATTCTTGAAAGGAGTGGAAAACTAGAAAATCTCGGCAAATTAATAGAATATATAAATAAGGATCAAATGGAAATCTCATAACTGAAAAATATAATAAGATACATTTTGAAAACCCCTACTGGATAGGCTTAGATTAAGCCATAATGGAATTGACATAGAAAAGAGAAAGTGAACTTGATGTAGATGAATAGAAATTATCCAAGCAGAAATAAAGTATATTAGGAACAAATGCTCAGTGCCTAGGGAGCATGTGAAATAATATTAAATAGATTCAGAAGAAGACAATGAAAAGTATAGTGCAAGAAAAATATTTGAAGAAATATTGACTGAGTACTTTTTCAATTTTTTGAAAGAAATAAATCTACAGATTCAAGAAACTCATCAAACTTCAAAGAGAATAAACCTTAAGAAATCTGCATTTACACCAATTGTAATAAAAGTACTGGAAGTTAAAGACAAAAAATATTTCAAATTAGCCAGAATAAGTAACATGTTGATTGTAGGAGAATAATAATTTGAAGGTTGACAAACGTGACCTCAGAAATAATTTATAAAAGAATTAATGAAACAAAATTTTTAAAGTGTTAAATAAATAAACTTTTAGTCTGTAATTCTATATCCAGTGAAAATATTCTTTAGGAGTGAAGGAGAAATAAACACATTTTCAGATAAAATAAAACCAAGACAAGTTGTTACCATTAGACCTGCACCAAAAGACCTACTAAAAGAAGCTTTTCCATCGGAAGGATACCAGAAATAAATTTGGAATATCACGGATGAAGGAGCATCAGCAGCAGAAATAATAAGTGAGGCAGCACTCCTTTCCTGGGGGCACTAGCTGCCGGGGGGATTGTTCCTGCAAACCCCTGATTCCGCGATGGATGAGTAAAACATACACTGACACACACATATTCTGCTCTGCCAGTCCAGCTGAGGGTCTGAGCCGCTTACAGGCTCCAAGCTGAGTTCTGTAAACAGTTGCAACTCAGCCCGGATCAGATAGTCAGGCTTGCACTTATTCAGTAAGACTAATTAACAAAAGTTGTGAGTAAACACCACTAGAACATAAAGATTAAAGGCCAGGTTCCCAGGCCTAAAGCAAACACCATTTGTGGGTAATAAACTTCTAGGGACCCCTGACCCCTCCCCGCAGTAGGAGGCAGTAAAGTACCTGCGGTAGGACAAAGGTTAGTCTTAAGCCCATATAAGTAAACAGGTTAGTAAGATAAACTTCCCTTTGTTTACTACTCTAATCTATTTAGCTAAAGGTAATGGGACCAGGCCGGTCTATTACCGAAGTCATGTGAAAACCCTCAGGTCTTCCAAAAGGGTTTTGTGGCTATCATAACTAATATTTTTTCCACCAGCCTGATCGAACCCCAGCATCTTCCCCTTTTTTATTTTCAACATTAAGTTTTTTTTGTTTTGTTTTTTGTTTTTTTTACTGGGGAGCGCAGGTTTGTTAGCCATGGGTTTGTCAGTTAAGGCGGGGCGGGGGGGGTCCCTGCTCTTATTCCAGCTTTGCATCCTAGGATTAGCAAATAACATAAAACAACCATAAGCACAATTAGCAACATTACTTTCCAGTCAAAGAGTGACCACCAGGAGCGAATGTCTAACAAGGAGAGATGATCTTGTACACCCTTCCATATGGCTGTTTGTTGGGTGTGCAGATATATGGTGTGAAGGGATTCTAAAATTTTAATTTTAAGTTGCTTCACCTCTGCTGTTAAATTGTTATGAAAGGTTCTCCAGAGGTGTTGTTTCACGTCATCTCAGCTATGTATTGATTGATTCCATGGTAGAGAAGTGATACACATATGTTTATGTTCCCAGTCACAGTTTAATTGTTGACGGAATGCTACTGTATCTTGTCACTCTCCCACATATTCTAAAGCAGCCTCAAGGGCTTGCAGATGTGCAAGAATTTTTTGATCTATACCTTGCTGTAAGAGAAGTTCACTAGACACATTTTTGGCCAGATTATCTACAAAAGCAGCTGTTTGTGCTGATTCAGTAATAGATGCAACAGCAACCCAAGCAGTTGACAGGATGACTATGGCTGAGACTATAAAGGCCATAATAGTAAATATGAATCTTTTGTGTCTGACCTGGGACAGGGCACGTTCTAAGGTGGCAAAGGCAGAGGAACCTTGCCAATCACTTGTCAAATTGACTGGTAGAAATGCCTCAGGTTGTCTCCTTAATACCATGACACTAGTAATTTTTTAATTAGATATATTGTGATTAGTGAGTGATACATGAGGCAAACCAAGCCTGTCCCTGCACCTGGGTTGTAAACGTGAGTTTCGGGGTGTAATGGAAATGTTAGTTCCCATAAGGAAAACATATGGATGGGTAGTGAAAACCAGGCCCTGATCAGTGTGATTATGAATAAAGGTTATACCATAGTTGTGACTGGAATTATGATATGTCTCATGCCAGGTGTTAAGGGAGGTGTTAAGATGTTCCAGCTTCATGTGGGGTGGGGGGAGGGGGGAGGGATAGCATTAGGAGATATACCTAATGTTAAATGAAGAGTTAATGGGTGCAGCACACCAACATGGCACATGTATACATATGTAACTAACCTGCACATTGTGTACATGTACCCTGAAACTTAAAGTATAATAAAAAAGAAAGTTTTTTGACGTTTAATTAAAGTTTTATTTTCTTTTGCAAGTTTATATATGTTACTATATACACATAATGAAAGTTATTGAAGCAGTTGCCTGCTGTAGATCTTTTCTGTTTGTTTTCTTGGGCAAAACAAATACCTCATGACTCTCTGAGCCAACCTCAGAAGGAGAACCCTGTAGGGAAGTCATGAAGTAAAAGCATATCTTCTCAGCCAAGGAAGGCCACAGGAAATCCTTGACAAGCACTGTCCATAAAAAATAAGAATGCAGATGCTCCTCAACATACGATGGGGCTATGTCCCAGTAAACCCTTGTATGTCAAGGAATGTACTAAGTATTACTTTTGCACCATCATAAGGTCAAAAAATCAAAAAAAGCTCAGGGACTATGTGCGTATACATTTTAAAAGATGATTGATAGGATAAACAATGATGAGAGGCCCAGTGGAATTTTGTCATTAAACCAAAAGCATTATCTCCCTCAGAAGAGAAGTTTAAGATACTTATTATTATTAATGCTAAGTGGGAGAGGAATAGCACAATCCCCAAGTGGCACACAAGGTGTTAAAAAGAAATACTATCAACTCATCAACTCTCATCCACATAACTGAGAAGGTGCCCTGTTATTCTTCCATAATGAGTATGTTTGTGATATGATATATATATAAATAATATATATATTTAATAAATTTTTGATTGAACAAGTCAATTAATTTTTAAAGATATATAAAATATATATACATATATATCTTTCTGGACCATTTGATTCTCATTTTAAAGTGATTTTGCCTTCTCCTTTTATGATGAGCTTTGCATGTATATTATAGGAAAAGGGCTTATATAACTTAATCATTTGAGTTCTTGCAATTAACAAAACCATTTGATAAATATAGATTATTCTAACTCGAACTAAGATAAATCTTTGCAGACATTCAGGAACTTCTGGGCTTTAATATAAATGGGACTATTTAATGAGCATTAGAAAATCAAAACATTTCTCAGGCCTGCTGGATTACAGAGCATCCCAATATTAAAACCAGTTTATTTTCCAGTTGGAAAAATTAAACATAAAGTTCCGTGTTTGGATGGCTGGACTGGAAGTATGCACCTGGCCCATTAAAAATAGATTAAATTCTAATGTTTTATAGCACTATAGGGTGACTATAGTTAAAAATAATTTATTGTATATTTTTAAATAATTAGGAGGGAGAATTTTGAATGTTCCCAATACAAATAAATGAAAAATATTTGAGGTGATAGATATAATTTTACTGGTTTGATTGCTACATGTCATATACATGCATCAAAATAACGCTCTGCTCTCCATGAATATGTGCAATTATTATGTATCTAACTAAAAATAAAATTTAAAAAATCAGTTTACAAAAAGTCATGCATTTCTAATATCTGCTTTTAGACTTCTCTACTTTTATTTTTCCTGACTCTGTTTCCACTTCCTGATTACATCTTTGTTACCTATCATTCTGAGTTCTTGGCAGCTTCAACGCACATTCATAATACTATACCTCATTTTTATTCTGTAATTCAAATCTCAGTTTCATGTTCTGCATCTACCCTTTTCTAACCCTACTGTTACTGCACTCATACGCTGGGCCTCCCTCCACATTGTGTTTTCACCATCTTAATGCTCCCCATTATGGAGGGTAAAGAAGTTCAAGTTCTCCAAAGACTGTCTGGAATTATGTATTCCAATTTTCTTTATTATAAATTAGACACATGTGTTACAGATAAGCTGAAAAACAGGCTTAAGATCATAGAGTTAATTAATGGAAAGATAATTAGAAAGAATTATTTGCATTATGACTCCTGGTCCAGTGCTATTTCTACCCAGTTAGATGTATAGATTTATCACTGAAAAAAAGTTAAAATATTATTAAATTTTGGTGTTCCTTTATAAAGCTACAATTTCCAGTTTTTAATACTCCTTTGCATTATTTATGATTACTTTAGTCACTACACAAGTTTTAAGAAAAACAATACAGGGCCATAAATGTCATATTTCCTTAAACTCAGCTGGGAGTCTACATTCAGGCACTGATTTCACTATTTTCAAAATACAAACCTACAATAGCTCCTCTCCTCACTTATCTACTGACTCCTGACTTACTAATATAGAATTTTATGAGCTAAGTTCAATTTACTAGTAATTTTTAAATGAAATTGATAAATGGCAAAACGGTGTGTCTCCCTTTTCTTACTCCAAGAAATCTTAATTGAAAAATAACATCATTTAAACTTGTTGTGTTTTGCCTTTGATTTCTTCCCTCACTCTGTTTTCAAACTTTGTTTCCCTAAACTCCCAAGTCAATGTTTCCTTGAAGAGGCCTTCGATTATTTTGCAAGACTTATATCTTCTTGATAGTCTTGATCAATTTTGCCTCTTTCTTTTCAAAATGACATAGACTCACAGTGGTGTTTAAAACAATAACTAGTAGGGAGGAATTATATTTTAGTACCAAACATTATAGTTACCGGAAATGCAAAGATTATTTAAAAAGAAATAATCTCATTTTTTATAATTTTAAAGAAAAAGCTTTATGCCTAGGTTTGTAATATTGTATTATTTTCAAGATTTGAGGATAAAACCCCTCAGATAAAAGTATATATGTATAGAAAGTTTGATTTCAGTTGTAATTCTGGAATATACTTATTAGAGCCATTCAATCTAATCAGGCTAACCACAGAAATGAATTTTGCTCTTATGAAATTCTACTTACGTGCACACAATCTGATTTATTTGCTTTTAGAATTTTCTGGCAATATTTTGCCTCTGTGGCTTACATGTCTTTCATATGGCTACAGGATTTATTCCCATTTCTACCATCAACCCAATAAAGGGTTTCAACTAAGGTCGCTGTGTTCCAGTATTTCTTATTCAAGTCCACAATTTCAAGTCCAATTGCTGATTAAGAAGTAAACACTATAAGCCCCAAACAGGCCTCCAATTAAATACTGTATCAACACAACTCTTGTCCTTTTTCTCTTTGAAACTTCACAGTCATTTGGATGGATGGTATTTTTGGTTAAACATAGCAAATCGTGTAAAAACTAAGTTTGTTCAATATGATTGATATAATTTTATGTCATATTATTATATATTTCTTCATTAGGGGATTAATAATACTGTATAAGCAATACATATAGCAAGTGAAAATTACTTAGCATATACAACTTTTTCATCATGATATAGCCATTAGTTAGACAAAAATAAACCTTGCTCAGATGGTTACCTCTTTTCTGCCTCATAGTTATTAAATAAACCAGGAGTTTGACTTACATCATAGTGGTTTGTGGGAACTGCCTCTACAGAATAAATGTTTAGAAGGTGAATCCTTGAAAGGGCATTGTAAATATTTTTTAACCATGGATTTAAATACTTTATTTTTCTTCTGTTTATGTGTAATTTTTAACTTTCAAAATTATTATATCAGTTGTTAGACTTTATAAAAGTTGTGCAATTCCTTCTTCCTAAGTATTTTAGTGCAATTTTACTTTACAATGTAGAGTATAAAATTTAGTAATGAAATTATATATCTATATGTAAAAATTCCATTGTTACATGGAATTATATTATTACATATGGATACAGATGAAACAATACATGTATATTGTTACATATACTTAACAATATATGTCACCTGTCACCCAAATAATGTACATTGTACCCATAGACAATGTTGTATCCCTCACCCACCTCCCACCCTCACCACTTCTGAGGCCCCAATGTCCATTATACCACTCTGTATACCTTTGCATACACACAGATCTCTCTTATATATGAGAGTATGCTGCATGTGGTTTTCTGTTCCTGAGTTACTTCACTTAAGATAATGGCATCCAGTTCCATCAAAGTTGCTGCAAAATACAGTATTTTATTTTTCTATGGCTGAGTAGTATTCCTTGGTAAATATATATCACATTTTAGTTATCCACTCATCAGGTGATGAGCGCTTAGGTTGATTTCATATCTTTGCAACTGTGCATTGTGCTGCAATAAACATACAAATGCAGATATGTTTTTGATATAATGACTTATTTTCCTATGGATATCCATAGGAAATTCCTACAGTAGTAGGAAATCCCAATAGTGGGATTGCTGGATCGATGGGTAGATCTACTTTCAGTTTTTTGAGAAATCTCCATACTGTTTTCCATAGAGTTTGTACTAACTTAAATTCCCACCAGCAGTGAAGAAGCGTTTCTTTTTTACCACATCTGTGCCAACACCTTTTTTTTTTTTTAACTTTTTAATAATTGCCATTCTGGCTGGTGTAAGGTGGTATATCACTGTGGCTTTAATTTGCATTTCCCTGATGATTAGTGGTTTTTAGTATTTTTTCATATGTTTGCTGGCCTTTTGTATATTTTCTTTTGAGAAATGTCTGTTCATGTTGCTCATCCATTTTTTAAATGGGATTATTTGTTTTTTTCTTGAGGATTTGTTTGAGTTCCTTGTAGATTCTTGATAACCTACAGATTCTGGTTAACCTATAGGTTTACAGAACCTATAACCTATAGGTTCTGTAGTTTCTCCAGGCCCTTTCTATAGGTTCTATAGATTCAGAACGTTCATTCTTTGTTGAATGTATAGTATGCAAATATTTTCTCTCATTCTGTAAGTTGTCTGTTTACTCTGAAGAAGCCTTTAGTTTAATTAGGTCCTAATTATTTGTTTCTGTTTTTGTTGCATTTGCTTTTTCAGTCTTATTTGTAAATAATTTCCTAGGTTAATGTCCAGAACAGTTTTCCTAGGGTTTCTGCTTGAATTTTTATGGTTTTAAGTCTTATATTTAAGTCTTTAGTCAATCTTGAGTTAATTTTTGTATATGGTGAGTGATAGTGATCCAGTTTTATTCTTTTTCATGTAGCTATCCAATTTTCCTAGCCCTTTTAATTGAATAGGGTGTCCTTTCACCAGTGTATGTTTTTGTCTGCTTGGGCAAAGATCAGTTAGTTGTAAGTATTTGGCTTTATTTGTGGAATCTCTATTCTATTCCATTGGAGTGTCTACTTTTATACTAGTACCATGCTGTTGTGGATAATATAGCCTTGTAGTATAGTTTGAAGTCAGGCAATGTGATGCCTCCTGATTTATTCTTTGTGCTTAGAACTGCTTTGGCTATTTGGATACCTTTTTGGTTACGTGTGAATTTTAGGATTGTTTTTCTAATTTTGTGAAAAACGACATTTGTATTCTGATAGGAATAGCATTGAGTCTGCAGATTGCTTTGATCAGTGTGGTCATTTTCACAGTCTTGTTTCTTCCAATCCATGAGAATGGGATGTTTTCCCACTTACATCATTTATGATTTTTTTTGCATTTTATTTATTTTTAAATTATTTTTAAAACTTCTAGATTAGTTTTAGGGGTACATGTGAAGGTTTGTTATATAGATAAATTATGTGTTGTTGGGGTTTGATGAACAGATTATTTTGTTACCCAGGTAATAAGCATGGTGGCTTTGAGTTGCATTTCTTAAATGACTAGTGATGTTGAGCATTTTTTCATATGCATTACAGCCATGTGTATATCTTGTTTAGAGAGGTATCTGTTTATGTCCTTTGCCCACTTTTTAATGGAATTGTTTGTCTTTTGCTTGTTAATTCATTGAAGTCCCTTATAGATTCTGAATATTAGACCTTTGTTAGATGAGTAGTTTGCAAATATTTTCTCCCATTTTGTAGGTTGTCTGTTTACTCTGTTGATAGTTTCTTTTGCTGTTCAGAAGATCTTTAGTTTAGTTGGGTCCCATTTGTCAACTTTTGTTTTTGTTTCAGTTGCTTTTAATGTCTTCATCATGAAATGTTTCCCAGGGCCTATGTCCAGACAGGTAATTAGTAGATTTTCTTCCAGGGTTTTATAGTTTTAAGTTCTACATTTAAGCTTTTAGTCCATCTTGATTTGACCTTTGTGTATGGTGTAAGGAAGGGGTCTAGTTTGAATATTCTGCATATGACAGTTCAGTTATTACAGCACCATTTATTGAAAAGGTAGTCCTTTCCCTATCGCTTTGGCTTGTCAATTTTGTCAAATATCAAATGGTTGTAGATGTGCAGCTTTATGTGTTGGCCCTCTATACTATCCCATTTTTCTATGTGTCTGTTTTTATACCACTACTTTGCTGTTTTTGTTACTGTAACCTTGTAGCATACTTTGAATTCAGGTAATGTGATGCTACCAGTTCTGTTCTTTTTGCTTAGGATTACTTTGGCTATTTGTTCTCTTTTTCATTCTTAATTTCAGAATACTTTTTTTTATAATTCTGTGAAGAATGTAATTGGTAGTTTGATAGAAATAGCATTGAATCTGTAAATTGCTTTAGACATGGCCATTTAAACAATATTGATTCTTCAAATCCATGAGCATGGAATGTTTTTCCATTTGTTTTTGTCATCTCTGATTTATTTGAGAAGTATTTTAAAATTGTCATTGTAAAGATTTTTTATCTTCCTGGTTAGCTGTATTTCTAAATGTGTGTGTGTGTGTGTGTGTGTGTGTGTGTGTGTGTGTGTCTGTCTGTCTGTCTGTCTGTTTTGAATGGGATTGTGTTCTTGATTTGGCAATCAACTTGGATGCTGCTGGTGTATAGAAATGCAACTAATTTTTGGACCTTGATTTTGTATCCTGAAATTTTTCTGAAGTTGTTAATCAGATCTAGAATATTTTCCTCAGAAAACACAGGATTGTTTAGTGTATTAAATCTTATTTATTTGTATTATTGTCTGCAAACAGAGATAGTCTGACTTCCTCTTTTCCTATTTTGATTCCTTTTATTTCTTTCTCTTGCCTGATTGCTCAATCTGGGACTTCCAGGTCTATGTTGCACAGGACTGGTAAGAGCGGGCAACCTTGTCTTGTTCCAGTTCTCAAGTGGAATGCCACCATATTTTGCCCATTCAGTAAGATGTTGACTGTGGGTTTGTCATAGGTGGATATTTTGCAGTTTTTCATGTCTGTATTTCCTTCAGTTCAGCTCTGATTTCATTTATTTCTTGTCTTCTGCTAGCTTTAAGGTTGGCTTTCTCTGTTTTTCTAGTTCTTCTAGGTGTCATGTTAGTTTGTTAATTTAAGATCTTTCTAACTTTTTTTCTTTTTTTATTATCATATTTTGAGTTATGGGATACATGTGCAGAACATGCAGGTTTGTTACATAGGTATACACATGCCATGGTGGTTTGCTGCACCCATCAACCTGTCATCTACATTAGGTATTTCTTCTAATGCTATCCATCCCCTAGCCCCCCATGCCCCAACAGGCCCCAGTGTGTGATGTTCCCCACCCTGTGTCCATGTGTTTTCATTGTTCAACTCCCACTTATAAGTAACAACATGTGGTGTCTGGTTTTCTGTTCCTGTGTTCGTTTGCTGAGAATGATGGTTTCCAGCTACATCCATGTCCCTGCAAAGGACATGAACTCATCCTTTTTTATGGCTGCATAGTATTCCATGGTGTATATGTGCCCCATTTCTTTTTCCAGTCTATGATTGATGGGCATTTGGATTGGTTCCAACTCTTTGCTATTGTGAATAGTGCCGCAATAAACATACATGTGCATGTGTCTTTATAGTAGAATGATTTGTAATTCTCTGGGTATATACCCAGTAATGGGATTGCTCAGTCAAATGGTATTTCTGGTTCTAGACCCTTGAGGAATCGCCACTCTGTCTTCCACAATGGTTGAACTAATTTACACTCCCACCAACAGTGTAAAAGTGTTCTTATTTCTCCACATCCTTTCCAGCATCTGTTGTTTCCTGATTTTTTTAATGATTGCCATTCTAATTGCCGTGAGATGGTAACTCATTGTGATTTTGATTTGCATTTCTCTAATGACCAGTGATGATGAGCTTTTTTCATATGTTTGTTGGCTGCATAAATGTCTTCTTTTGAGGAGTGTCTGTTCATATCCTTCGCCCACTTTTTGATAGGGTTGTTTGTTTTATTCTTGTAGATTTGTTTAACTTCCTTATAGATTCTGGATATTAGCCCTTTGTCAGATGGATAGATTGCAAAAAATTTCTCCCATTCTGTAGGTTGCCTGTTCACTCTGATGATAGTTTCTTTTGCTGTGCAGAAGCTCTTTAGGTTAATTAGATCCCATTTTTCAATTTTGGCTTTTGTTACCGTTGCTTTTGGTGTTTTAGTCTTGCAGTCTTTGTCCATGCCTATGTCCTGAATGGTATTGCCTAGGTTTTCTTCTAGAGTTTTTATGGTTTCAGGTCTTACATTTAAGTGTTTAATCTATCTTGAGTTAACTTTTGTATAAGATGTAAGAAGGGGTCCAGTTTCAGTTTTCTGCATATGGCTAGCCAGTTTTCCCAACACCATTTATCAAATAGTTAATCCTTTCCCCGTTGCTTGTTTTTATCGGGACTGTCAAAGATCAGATGACTGTAGATGTGTGGCATTATTTCCGAGGTCTCTGTTCTGTTCTGTTGGTCTATATATCTGTTTTGGTACCAGTACCATGCTGTTTTGGTTAGTGTAGCATTGCAATATAGTTTGAAGTCAGGTAGTGTCATGCCTCAGCTTTGTTTTTTTTGCTTAGGATTGTCTTGGCTATGCTGGCTCTTTTTTGGTTCCATATGAAATGTAAAGTAGTTGTTTCCTAATTCTGTGAAAAAAATCAATGGTTGTTTGATGGGGATAGCATTGAATCTATAAATTACTTTGGGCATTGTGGCCATTTTCATTACATTGATTCTTCCTATCCATGAGCATGGAATGTTTTTTCATTTGTTTGTGAAGAGGTCCTTCACATCCCTTGAAAGTTGTATTCCTAGGTATTTTATCTCTTTGTAGCTATTGTGAAGGGGAGTTCACTCATGATTTGACTCTCTGTTTGTCTATTATTGGTGTATAGGAATGCTTGTGATTTTTGCATTTTGATTTTGTGTCCTGAGAATTTGCTGAAGTTGCTTATCAGCTTGAGGATATTTTGGGCTGAGACGATGGGGTTTTCTAAATATACAATCATGTCATCTGCAAACAGAGACAATTTGACTTCCTCTCTTTCTACTTGAATACCCTTTATTTCTTTCTCTTACCTGATTGCCCTGGCCAGAACTTCCAATACTATGTTGAATAGGAATGATGAGAGAGTACATCTTTGTCTTCTGCTGGTTTTCAAAGGGAATGCTTCCACCTTTTGTCCATTACATACGATATTGGCTGTGGGTTTGTCATAAACAGTTCTTATTATTTTGAAATATGTTCCATCAATACCTAGTTTATTGAGAGTTTTTAGCATGAAGGGGTGTTGAATTTTATTGAATGCCTTTTCTGCATCTATTGAGATAATCATGTGGTTTTTCTCATTGGTCCCGTTTATTTGATGGGTTACATTTATTGATTTGTGTATGTTTACCCAGCCTTGCATCTCAGAGATGAAGCTGACCTGATCGTGGTGGATAAGCTTTTCATGTGCTGCTGAATTCAGTTTGCCAGTATGTTATTGAGGATTTTCACATTGATGTTCATCAGGGATATTCGCCTGAAATTTTCTTTTTTTGTTGTTTCTCCACCAGGTTTTGGTATCAGGATGATGCTGGCCTCATGAAATGAGTTAGGGAGGAGTCCCTCTTTTTCTGTTGTTTGGAGTAGTTTCAGAAGGAATGGTACCAGCTCCTCTTTGTACCTCTGTTAGAATTTGGCTGTGAGTCCATCAGGTCCTGGGTTTTTTTTTTGGTTGGTAGGCTATTAATTACTGCCTCAATTTCAGAACTTGTTATTGGTCTATTAAAGGATTTTACTTCTTCCTCATTTAGTCTTAGGAGGGTATATGTGTCCAGGAATTCATCAATTTCTTCTAAATTTTCTAATTTATTTGCATAGAGGTGTTTGTAGTATTCTCTGATGGTAGTTTGAATTTCTGTGGGATCAATGGTGACAATCCCTTCATCATTTTTTATTGTGTCTATTTGATTCTTCTCTCTTTTCTTATTTATTAGCCTGTCTAGCAGTCTATCTATTTTGTTAGTCTTTTCAAAAAACCAACTCCTGGATTCATTGATGTTTTTGAAGGGTTTTTTGTTTCTCTATCTCCTTCAATTCTGCTCTGATATTATTTATTGTTTGGCTTCTGCTAGGTTTTGAATTTCTTTGCTCTTGCTTCTCTAGTTCTTTTAATTGTGATGTTAAGGTGATGATTTTAGATCTTTCCCATTTTCTCTGTGGGCATTTAGTACTATAAATTTCCCTCTAAACACTGCTTTAGCTGTGTCCGTGAGATTCTGGTAGATTGTGTCTTTGTTCTCATTGGTTTTAAAGGACTTATTTATTTCTGCCTTAATTTCTGTATTTACCCAGTAGTCATTCAGGAGCAGGTTGTTCAGTTTCCATATTGTTGTGTGGTTTTGAGTGTGTTTCTTAATGCTGAGTCGATTGCACTGTGATCTGAGAGACTGTTTGTTATAATTCCCGTTCTATTGCATTTGCTGAGGAGTGTTTTACTTCCAATTATATGGTCAATTTTAGAATAAGTGTGATGGGGTGCTGAGAAGAATGTATATTCTGTTGATTTGGGGTGGTGTTCTGCAGATGTCTATTTTCATGTGCTGCTGAATTCAGTTTGCCAGTATGTTATTGAGGATTTTCACACTGATGGTCCACTTGGTCCAGAGCTGAGTTCAAGTCCTGAATATCCTTGTCAATTTTCTATGTCATTGATCTGTATAATATTGCCAGTGGAATGTTAAAGTATCCCACTATTATTTTGTGGAAGTCTAAGTCTTTGTAGGTCTCTAAGAACTTGCTTTGTGAATCTGGGTGCTCCTGTATTGGGTGCATATATATTTAGGATAGCTAGCTCTTCTTGTTGCATTGATCCTTTTACCATTATGCAATGCCCTTCTTTGTATTTTTTATCTTTGTTGGTTTAAAGTCTGTTTTATCAGAGACTAGGATTGCAACCCCTGCATTTTTTTTTTTTTTTGCTTTAAATTTTCTTGGTAAATATTCCTCTATCCCTTTATTTTGAGCCTATGTGTGTCTTTGCACGTAGTTTGGGTCTCCTGAATACAGTACACCAATGAGTCTTGACTCTTTATCCAATTTGCCAGTCTGTGTCTTTTAACTGGGGCATTTAGCCCATTTGCATTTAAGGTTAGCATTGTTACATGTGAATTTGATCCTGTCACTGTGATGCTAGCTGGCTATTTTGCCCATTAGTTGATGCAGTTTCTTCATATTGTCAATAATCTTTATAATTTGGTATGTTTTTGCAGTGACTGGTAACTGTTTTTTCTTTCCATATTTGGTGCTTCCTTCAGGAGCTCTTGTAAGGCAAGCCTCATGGTTCAATGTTGACGTTTAGCACCATAAATGTTCCTTTTAACACTGTGTTAGCTGTGTCCCAGAGATTTTGTAGGTTTTATCTTTGTTCTCATTAGTTTCAAAGATTTTTTTCATTGTTGTCTTAATTTTATTTTTTACTCAAAAGTCACTTAGGAGCAGGTTGTTCAATTTCTATGTAATTGTGTGGTTTTGAGTGATTTTCTTCATGTTGATTTCTATTTTTATTGCATTGTAATCTGAGAGTGTGGCTGGTATGATTTCCATTTCTTTTTATTGTTTGTTTTGTTTTGCTGATAATTTTTTATGGCTTATTTTATGGTCAATTTTAGAGTATGTGCTATCTGCAGGTAAGAAGAATATATTTTCTGCTTTCCTTTGGTGGAGAGTTCTGAAGATGTCTATTAGAACCATTTAGACAAGTGTCAAGTTCAGGTCCTGAATATCTTTGTTTTTTTTCTGCCTTGATGATCCAACACTGTGAGTGGGTTGTTGAAGTCTCCTGCTATTCTGTGGTTATCCAAATCTCCTTGGAGGTCTCTAAGAACTTGGTTTAGGAATCTGGGTGCTCTTGTGTTGACTGCAGATATATTTAGCATAGTTAGGTCTTGTTTAATTGAAAGCTTTACCATTATGCAATGCCCTTCTTTGTCTTTTTTGATCATTGGGTTGAAGTCTGATTTGTCTGAAATTAGGATAGCAGCCCCTGCTTTTTTTCTGTTTTCCATTTGGTTGGTAGGTTTTTTTCCATCTGATTACTTTGAGAGTATGAGTTTTATTGCATACTGAAGACAGCATACAGTTAGGTCTTTCTTGTTTACCAAACTTGCCACTCTGTGCATTTTAATTGTGGCATTCAGCCCATCCTATTCAAGGTTAATATTGATATGGGCAAATTTGATTCTGTCTTTATGTTGTTAGCTGGTTATTATGCAGATTTGATTGTGTGCTGGCTTAATAGTGTCTTCATACTTAAGTGTGGTTTTGTGGTGGCTAGGAATAATCTTTGCATTCTGTATTTAAAACTTCTTGCAGCATGTCTTGTAAGGCAGGTCTGGTGATAATGAATTCCCTTAACATTTGCTTTTCTGAATAGGATCTTATTTCTCTTTCATTTATGATGTTTAATTTGGCTGGATATGAAATTCTTTGTTGGAATTTGTTTTCTTTAATAATACTGAATAGAGGTCCCCAATCTCTTCTGGCTTGTATGGTTTCAGCTGAAATGTCCACTGTTAGCCTAATGGGATTCTCTTTGTAGATAATCTGCCTCTTCCCTCTAGCTGCCTTTAACATTTTCTTTCATTTCAACCTGGGAAAATCCGATGAGTATGTGTCTAGGGGATGGCCGTCTTGTACAGTATCTCGCAGGAGGTTTCTACTGTTGTACCTGAGTGAGTATTTGCTGAATTTGAATGTTCTCTGGTGAGGTTGGGAAATTTTCATAGACTATGTCCTCAAATATGTTTTCCAAGTTTCTTGCTTTATCTGTTTCCTTTCAGGGACAAAAATGAATTGCAGATTTGGGCTCTTTACATAATCCCATATTTCTTAGAGGTTTTGTTCATTTTTTAAATTTTATTTTTATCTGACTGAGTTATTTAAGAGAACCAGTCTTAGAGCTCTGAGATTCTTTTCTCAACTTGGTTGATTCTGCTGTTAATACTTGAGATTATATATAAAATTTCTGAAGTGATATTCTCAGCTCTATTAGATCAATTTGGCTTTCTTTAAAATAGCCATTTCATCTTGCATCGCCTGTATTGTTTTGTTGTATTCCTTAGAATCATTGGACTGGGCTTTGACTTTCTCCCAAATCTCAATGATCTTTCTTCCTATCTATATGATGAATTCTACATCTGTCATTTTAGCCATTTCAGTCTGGTGCCATTGCTAGGGAACTAGTGCAGTGTTTGGGAAGTAAGAAGACACTCTGGATTTTTGAATTGCCAGAGTTCTTGTGCTGGTTCTTTCTTATTTGTGGGGATGTTGTTCCTTTAATCTTTGAAGTTGAGGTCCATTGCACAGGAGTTTCTGTCTTTACCTTTTTTGATGTGCTTGGAAGTTTGATTGTGGGTTTAATTGACTGGCTTGTTCTGTCGATTGGTTTTGTTTCTGTAAGATTTCAGGTGGTCAAAGCTCACCTCAGCACTCCTAGGCTGCATATTCTAACTTACGGGGTTGATAACAGGTGCCTGGCTTTGTTCTTTGGTTCTTTGGGGTTAGGAATCTGCTAGGCTGAAGGGGCCAAGGTGTTTCCAGTGTGCTGGCCTCAATATTCTATTGGAAGTTGCCCGCCAGAGCGCTTTGTAGGGACGTGGCAGTGGGATCCGTGGTCACTCGCGCCGTGTCAGCAACTGCAGCAGCGGTGTGAGGTGCATGTGCGTTGGTTAGGGTAGGGGTCTGTCAGGAACCTTTGCCTTAGTTTTAATAGGCACTATAAGGGAGCAAAATATTTTGGCGTTGTATTTTGGGCTGCAATCCAGCAGGTGGCGCTTAAGACTGTTAGCGGAGAGGTTCTTAGTACACTGTATGACTCTTGTGTGTTTTGGTGCGGTTAGCAGTAGTGGTATGTTGTGAGGAGGGAGAGAGGTGACCCCCTCACCTGGTCTACTCCTGGGCCTTGGAGGTGCCCCCTCCGATTATAGGCACCGTGCTTGCATTTTTTTTGTTGGGCATTCTGGTCCACAAGGCTCCCTCAGGCAGGGGCCACATTTGGCAGGCAGGTCGTATCCTTGTCAGGTGGGCCCTGTAGAGGGAGGCACACCTCGTTCCTCCACCAACCACCCTAGGAACCCAGGTGTCACATTTCACAGTGATCTGAGAATGAGGGCTCCCACCTGCTTTAGCACTGCCCACACCCTCAAATCCTGCTCAGTTAGGAGCTGCCTGGGTGGGTGGATTCACCTGTTCTGCTATGTAGATGCTTCCTGTGGGGGGAAAGGTGTTGTGCCTTCCTGCAGAGTTCAGGCAGAAGTGGAACCACTGAGCTAAAACCTTTAGCAGGTGTGGCCGGCCTGAATACAGAGATGGGGGTGGTTTGAGTAAAACCACCACCACTCCCTGCCCTCACCCACGCCATCCAGGTGTTTCCAGGGACAACAGGAGGCTTTGCCCACCGGTTGAGTTCAGACAGAGGCAAAACCACTGGGCTGGAAACTCTGGCAAGCGTTCACAGCCTGACTACCAGTGACGTGAGTGGGCGCCCCCTCCCTGCCGTCTGGGGCTTCTCAGGACAACAGGAGGTTGCATGTGTTGATTGAGTTCAGGCAGAAGTGAGATGGCTGATGCTGGAAGCTCTAGTAGGCATTGGCCGCCTGGTTACCAGCAGTGGGAGCAGGCGGAGTCACCCTCCCTGTTGTCTAAGTGCTTCCTAGACAACAGGAGGCTGCACCCCCTGACTGAGTTCAGGCAGGAGCTGAACCACTGGAGTGGAAGCTCCAGCAGTGGTGGAGGTGAGTGGGGTCATCCACCCTGCCCTTTGGGTGTTTCTTGGGACAGCAGGAGGCTGTGCCTTGCTGTCCTGTTGAGCTAGAAGCTCCATCAGGCATTGCCCACCTAACAATGGTGGGGGTAGGTGGGGTTGCCTGCTCTGCCATCAGGGCATTCTGGGCAACAAGAGGCAGTGGGAGTAGCCCAGTTTGGGTAGAAGTGGGATGGCTTGGCCAGAAGCTCGACAGGTCTTTGTCTGGCAAGGGCAGGGCAGAGGAATCTTCCTGCTCCCAGGCACCCTGACTGCAGCCTCTACTGGGGCTATGGTGCTGGTGAAGGTCTATTTCCAGGTCCAAGGATTGTAGAGGTCGAGAATTTGGAGCTATCTCTGCAAAGTCTCTGGGTGACTCTCTGCCTCAGTTTAGAAGCACGGTCCCTGTGTAGAGCATGAATCCCTCTGAGGCCCTCAGTCACTCCCTCATGCTTTCCTACCTTGTGGAGCTTCTCCTGGATCCACATTGATTCCAGATTGGCTGCTGCCCAGCTTTGCTCCTCTTTGCTCTCTGTGTTCACTCGCTGCTGTGAGTCAGTGTTCAATAGCCCTTTTGATTTCTCTCCGTGACAGCAGCACAGGTAATCTGCTTTAAGTCTGCCATCTTGACCCCTCACCTCTTTCTATGATTTGTTTTATTAGTGTTTTATAGTTCTTTTTGTTGAGATCTTTCACTTCCTTGTTTAAGTATATTCCTAGGTATTTTATTGATTTTGTAACTGTTGAACCGTAAATGGGATTGAGTTCTTGATTTGATTCTCAGCTTGGTCATTGGTGTGTAGCAGTACTACTGATTTGTGTACATTAATTTTGTAATCTGAGACTTTACTGAATTCGTTTATCAAATCTAGAAGTCTTTTACTACCTTGAATGGAAGGGTTGAAAATGGACATCTTTGTCTTGTTCCAGTTCTGAGAGCGGAATGTTTTCTACCTTTCCTCATTCAGCACGATATTGGCTGTGGGTTGATATGGCTTTTATTATTTTGGGATATGTTCCTTTATGCCTAGTTTGTTTAGGGTTTTTATTACAAAGAGATGGTAGATTTTATCAAATGTTTTTCTGCATCTATTGAGATGATCATTTGGTTTTTGTTTTCATTCCATTTATGTGGTGAATCACATTTACTGCCTAGCACATATTGAACCACCCCTGCATCCCTGAGATGAAAACTACTTAATCATGGTGAATTATCTTTCTGATGTGCTTTTGGATTCAGTTTGCTAATGTTTTGTTGAGGATTTTTACATCTGTGTTCATTGGGAATATTAATCTGTAGTTTTCTCTTTTTTTTTCTTGTTATGTCCTTTCCTGGCTTTAATATTATGATGATACTGTTTTTGTAGAATGAGTTAGGGAGGATTCCCTTCCTCTTAATTTTTTGGACTAGTTTTAATAAGGTTGGTACAAGTTCTTCTTTGGATGTCTGGTGTAATTCAGCTGTAAATCTATCTGGTCATGGACTTTTGTTGTTGTTGGAAGATATATTTTTATTATTACTGATTCAATCTCACTGCTAGTTATTGGTCGCTTAAGGATTTCTATTTATTCCTGATTTATGCTTAGTAGGTTGTATGTTTCTAGCAATTTATTCATTTACTTTAGACTTTATATTTTGTGTGCATAAAGGTGTTCATAGTAACCTCAAATAATCTTTTATATTTCTGTGATATCAGCTGTAATGTCTCCATTTTCATTCACGATTCAGCTTAACTGAATCTTTTCTTGGTTAATCAATCTAGTGGTTTATCAGTTTTGCATATCTTTTAAAGCACCATTTTGATCCTTTTTATTTGGGGGGGTTCAATTTCATTTAGTTCTGTTCTGATCTTTGTTACTTCTTTTCATCTTCTAGCTTTGGGTTTGGTTTTTTCTCATTTCTCTAGTTCCTTGAAGTGTGAAGTCAGGTTGTCAATTTGTGGTATTTGTGTCTTTTTGATGTAGGAATTTAGTGCTGGAAACTTTCATCTTAGTATTGTTTTTGCTGAATCCCAGAGATTTTAATAACTTGTGTGGCTGTTATTATTAATTGTGAAATTTTTTTAAATTTTCATATTGATTTCATTGTTGACCCAAATATTACTCAGGAGCAAATTGTTTAATTTTCATTTATTTGTATGTTTTTTAGGTTTCCCCTTGGAATTAATTTCTAGTGTTATTTTGCTTGATGGTAGAATATACTTAATATGATTTTGATTATTTAAAACTTACAGAGACTTGTTTTTTGTTGCCAGTCATATGGTCTATCTTGGAAAATTTCTATGTGCTGATGAGAAGAATCTTTATTCTGCAATTTTGTAGTAGAAAGTTCTGTAAATGTCTGTTGGATCCATTTGTTCTAGAGTCTAGTGTTTTTTGTTGACCTTTGTCCTTAGTGATCTGTTTATTACTGTCAGTATAGTGTTGAAGTCCCCCACTATTATTGCTTTGATGTCTATCTCTTTTCTTATATCTAGTACTAATTGTTTTATGAACCTGGGAGCTCTGGAGTTAGAGAATACATATGTACTATTGTTATATCTTCTAGTTAAATTGATTTTTAAATTATTATAGAATAATAATTATCTTTGTCTTTTCTTTTACTATTGTTTCTTTATAGTCATCTTTATCCAATATAAGAATAGCTACTCCTATTCATCTTTGGTTTCTATTTGTATTAAGCATTTTTTTCACCCTTTTACCTAGAGTTTATAAAAATATTTACAACTTAGATGGGTATCTTGAAGACAGCAGATACTTGGTTTTGGTTTCTTAATTCATTCTGCCAATCCATGTCTTTTAAGTGGATAATTTAGACCATTTAGAGTCAACATTAATATTGATATGTGAGGTACAGTTACAATCATCCTGTTGATTGTTATTTAGTTGCTTTATTTTCTTCAATGTGTTACTATTTTATAATTCCCGTGAGCCTTATGCTTTCAGGTGTTTTTATACTGGTGCATATTCACCTTTGGTTTTAATATTTAGAACTCCATTTAACATTTCTTGTAAGGTTGGACTGGTGGTGACAAATACTACCAGCATTTGCTTGTCCAAGAAGGCTTTATGTCTCCTTCAATTATGAAATGTAGTTTTGCTGGATATAAAATTATTGACTGATAGTTACTCTGCTTGAGGAGACTAAAGATAGGTCCCCAAACCTGTCTAGCTTGTAAAGTTTCTGCAAAGAAATCTGCTGTTATTCTGATAGAGCTGTAAGATACAATACAATTCCTCTTCAAAGTTCAGCCTGTTAATTTCCTTGTTCTTTGTTCTCAAACGTAACTTTCTTGTTCTCCATACCTCCTTGCCCCTAGTTACTGTAAACAATCTCCTGTCAGAGCTAATCAATAACTCACATCTGTTCCCTTGGTTACTCACTCTGCACCCATTCCTCCCACCAAAACTTCACTTCCCACCACTGTAACTCACCTTCCGCTTCCCCCTTCCTTATTTAGGAAAAATATTCACAAGAAGCCAATAGGGTCAGTTTAGATTGTGCAGTTCGACCCCAGCCCATGGGAGAGTGGCACAGAGGTAGGCACTACGCCTCCGAGATAAAAAGCCTTTCCCTCCTTTGTTCGGTGTGCTTTTGCAATCATAATTGACACAGGGAGCACCCTTCTGCAGAAGTAAATTGCCTTGCTGAAAAAAACTTCCCTGAGTGCTGGTTTCACTTTGCGACACCAAGCATTTACTTCCAATAATTTCTTGGGGCTTGTCCAGGATTCCCATTCTCCCCTGGGGAAGGGGTCTATGGTCACCTCTCATGAGGAGGCACATCCCACTGTCTCGTTGTGGTGGCCTCAAGGTGAGGGATCAGGTCCCCCCCACCAACTGGTGTGACAAATAAACCCGGACCCTCAACAACATGGGGAGGAAAAGGCTTGCAACACCACGGCAACCAGGTAACTCTGTGCACAGACCAAGGTAAGAAACGTCACAAGGTGACAAAGTATTTCCTCGGTGGTTGGGATATTCTGGAGGTTGAAAGTGTGTGTGAATGATCACAAGCACTACTGCTTGTGGTGCTGCTTGTGTGAATGGTTCTAAGCACTACTGCTCTGCAGAGTGAGTGGGTCCTATCAGTGGCTCCATGGTCACCTCATACGGCTTAGGGCGGATCCTGCCATGGGGTTTATACAGGCACACCAATGCCAACAGGCACTTAAATTCCCCTTGAGGAAGGGGCTAGAGTGGACAAAGCAAAAGAAGTGTGCAAGGAGCCTCCAGTGGGTGGGGCTAAAGGATAGGCAAGAAATCTCTAATATGAGGAATTGAGCCTTAACAAGCCCCAAGGGAAGAATAGGCAAGAAATCTCTAATACAAGGGATTGAGCCCCAGCAAGCCTTCAGAGACAGATAGGCAATTAGTCTCTAGCATGAGGGATTGAGCCTAACTGGACCCAATATGGGAAATACCCCCAAGCAAGACAGAATAAAAAGGATAAAGATAGTAATAAAGATATTCCCCCGATAGTCCCCTAGGACTCATGTTAAAATATTGGAAAGATAATGAGAGAACTAAACATAAGAAAAAGCAACAAGTGATAAAATATTGCTGTTTTATTTGGACTCAGGGACCCATCCTCAAACCTTCAATCTTCTGGCCAAAGTTTGGGTCAAATGAGGATGTGATGTGCCAACTTCTAATTCAACATGTAAGTGATAAAAGTCTGGTTTCTCAGGAATAACTGGACTGTGCTCTTTGTTGGAGGCAGGGACCTATCTTCCTTTTTCCCTTAAAGACAATTAGGGAAAAATTAAATCAAGAACATCAAAATTAAGAGTCAAAAAAACCAATTCCTGGGCCTAAAGAATCCAGCATATGGGATCCTCTAGACCATCTTCCCTCGCTCAGTTCTCCTAACCCTTCCCCTCAGGCAGCCACTGCTGTCCCAGTTCAAACTCCAGATCCCTCCCCTGCTCACATTATTCCTCCTCCTTACAATCCAGATTGTTGGGAATCTTATACCATGAACCTATTTCTTCTCAGCCAAAGTACCCTTCCCCAAAAGACTCCATCATGGGATAGAACAATGTAAAAACGATATTCAAAATGTCCCACTTCCCTCCACACCTAAGGAGTCAGCCTCAACTCTCTTCCCCTAAAAAGAGGTGCCACAAGGAGGAGGAGCTATTGGCTTTGTGAATCCTCCCTTAACCAGGTCAAGAATTCCAAAGTTTAAAAAAGGAACTTAAGCCATTTTTGGATGACCCTTATGGGGTGGCAGATCCAGTTTATCAATTTTGGGAACCTAAGTTGTACACTTGGGTCGAGTTAATGTTCATCCTAGGCATCCTCTTTTCAGGGGAGGAAAGAAGCATGATCCATAGGGCTATTATGGCAATTTGGGAATGTGAACACCCTCTTGATCAAAACATTCCTACTGCAGATGAAAAGTTTCCTGCCCAAGACTCCTGGTGGGACAATAATAATGCAGCTTGACAGGAAAATATGCAATACCTAGGGAAATAATAGTGAAGAGAATTAGGGAATCAGTACCCCGAACCCAAAACCTCTCTAAAGCACTTGATGTATAACAGGAAAAAGATAAAGGGCCTATGAAATTTCTAGACAGACTAACAGATCAAATGAAACAATATGTAGGCCTAAATTTGGAAGATCCCCTTAACAAGGAATGTTAAAGCTCCACTTCATAACTAAAAGTTGGCCAGATACTTCAAGAAAGTTATGAAAATTAGAAGATTAGGAGAACCGACTACTAAGTGAACTTCTCAGAGAAACTCAAAAAGTGTATGTGAGAAAAGACAAAGAGAAGCAGAAACAAAAGGCAAAATTTATGGTATCCACTTTCCTACAGGTGGCTTCAAACCCACATGCTTCTAAACAAAGCTTCCAGGGGGCCAGAAACTATAAAGGGTCCAGACCCCTATTTAAAGCACCCAAGCGACTGTCTAGATTACCCAGGCCCTCTTTACCAGCCCCTCTACAGAATATGGGGGGAGGGCACAGTGGCAGAATCCCAGGACCGAGAGAGAAGGACAGGATAGGTGCTACAAATGTGGAAGGACAGACCATTTCAAGAGAGAATATCCTGAATTAGAAAAGGAAAAGAAGCCCTTCCACTCATGACTTTTGGGGAAGAATAGGGGGGTCAGGGGCTCTGTTTCTTTTACCTCAAGTCCTACCAAGAGCCCTTGATAAATTTAGACGTGGGACCCAAACATGAGTTTATCACCTTCTTAGTTGATTCAGGGGTGGCTCACTCCTCTGTTTATTTCCCTCCATCCAACATTGCCTGTTCTTCAAAAGAACTTTGGTCTCTGGGTTAAAACGACAAGGATTTCAAGCAAAAGTCATAGAAAGTACGGTTAAATCACAAGATTGATTAACTCATATCCATTTTTTGTTGATTCCTGAAACAGGAATTAATCTATTAGGAAGAGACTTAAATCCTAAAATTTGGTATAGGTCTATAAGTTAGCCCTAAATGATTCCTTACTTCATTAAACCTACTCACTACTGCAAATGAAAAACATATTAACCCCAATGTCTGTTCAAGGGAAGGAAACTGAGGGATACTCTGAATCCTTCCAATCCACATCAAGCTAAAAACCCCCAGGGAAGTGGTAAGGAGGAAACAATACCCCATTCCCCTAGAGGAAAGAATAGGGTTAAAGGCCATAATTGAAAGTCTTATCAAAGATAGGCTTCTTGAACCCTGTATGTCCCCTTATAACACTCCAATATTGCCAGTCAAGAAATCAGACCAGTCATACTTACTGGTACAAGATCTCAGAGCCATCAATCATATAGTCCAAACTATGAATCCTGTTGTCCCCAGCCCATACACCATTCTCAGGAAAGTTCCATATAAGCATCAGTGGTTTACAGTAATACATTGAAAAGATGCCTTCTGGGCATGCCCCTTGGCTGAAGACAGCTGAGACATATTTGCTTTCGAGTGGGAGGATCCCCATTCAGGGGCATAAACAACAGTATCGATGGACAGTTTTACCTCAAGGGTTTACAGACTCCCCAAACCTTTATGGTGAAATTTTAAAACAAGTGTTGAAAAAAGTGGCTGTCCCAAATCAAATATGCCTGCTCCAGTACATGGATAATATTCTCATATCTGGTGAGGATATAGAGAAAGCAGCTGGCTTCTCTACACATATGCTTAACCATCTGGAGTTCGAGGGGTTATGAGTTTCAAAGGGAAATCTTCAGTATATGGAGCCCAAAGTTGAATATTTAGGCCACTTAATAAGTGCAGGTAAGCGAAGAATAGGGCCTGAATGAGTTGAAGGCCTCGTGTCCTTACCCTTACCCCAAACTAAGCAAGAACTCAGCAAATTTTTAGGGTTAGTTGGGTACTGCTGCTTATGGATTGACTCATATGCACTAAACAGTAAACTTCTATACCAAAAACTTGCCCAGGAACAACCTGACCGTCTCCTGTGGATGTCTGAGGAAGGCGATCAGGTTGAAGAACTAAAAGAAAGGCTCATAACCACCTCTGCCCTAGCCTTCCCTTCCCTAGAAAAACCATTCCACATTTTGTTATGTAAATAATGGAGTAGCTTTGGGGGTGCTTACCCAAAAAAATGGTGGCCGCTGGCAGCCTGTAGCCTTACTATCAAAAGTTTTGGACCCAGTCACATGTGGATGGGTTCAATGCATCCAATCCATTGAGCTACAGAAATATTAATTGAAGAAAGTAGAAAATTAACTTTTGGGGGGAAATGGACTGTAAAAACAGCCCACCAAATTAGAGCAATTTTAAATCAAAAAGCAGAAAGGTGACTCCAGAATCTTAAAATATGAGGCCATTTTACTAGAAAAAGATGATTTAACCTTGACTACTGATAATTCACTCAACCCAGCAGGTTTCTTGACAGGAGACCCAAATCTAAAAAGAAATTACTTATGTCTAGATTTAATTGACCACCAAACAAAGGTCAGGACAGATCTAGGAGAAACTCCTTTCAAAACAGGGCAACACTTATTTATAGATGGTTCCTCCCAAGTAAATAAAGGAGAAAGGCATAATGGGTATTCAGTAATTGATGGAGAAACTATTGAAAAAACAGAATCAAAGAGGTTGCCCAACAGTTGGTCTGCCCAATCTTGTGTATTATTTGCACTCAGCCAGGCTTTAAAATGCTTACAAAACAAGGAAGGAACTATTTATACTGATTCTAAGTATGTCTTGGAGTAGCACATACATTTGGAAAAATTTGGGCTAAGCCAGGTCTTATTAATAGTAAAGGCCAAAATCTTGCCCACGAAATGCTAATTGTCCATATTTTAAACAATCTTCAGCTGTCAGAAGAAATGGCCATTGTACATGTACTTGGACACAAGAAAGACTTTTCCTTTACAAGTCAAGGAAATAGCCTTGCAGATAAAGTAGCCAAACGCACTGCCGTTTCATCTGAAATACCTATCTCTCACTTAACTCCTTGTCTTCCTTCCCTTGCTGCAACCCCTGTCTTCTCTGCTACAGAAAAGGAAAAATTAATAAGAATAGGAGCCAAAGAAAATTCACAAGGAAAATGGGTGTTACCAGATCAAAGAGAAATGCTATCCAAACCCCTCATGAGAGAAATCTTGTCTCACTTGCATCAAGGGACACACTGGGGACCCCAAGGCATGTGTGATGCAGTTCTCAGGGTTTATGGGTGTATAGGAATTTATACCCTAGCCAAAAAAGTTACAGACAGTTGCTTAATATGTAAGAAAACCAACAAACAAGTTATTAAAAAATCACACCTGGGGGGAGGGATCCAGGCCTAAGACCATTCCAAAGTGTTCAAATTGACTATATTGAAATGCCCCCAATAGTTCATCTAAAGTACTTATTAGTGATAGTAGATCACCTCACTCACTGGGTCGAAGCTATTCCCTTTTCCAATGCAATAGCCAATAATGTAGTTGAAGCATTAACTGAAAATATAGTACCCAGGTTTGGACTAATAGAAAATATTGACTCAGATAATGGAACCCAGTTCACAGTGTATGTCATTAAAAAGTTATCCTAAGCACTAGACATTAGATGAGAGTATCATACTCCTTGGCACCCACCTTTATCAAGGAGAGTAGAAAGGATGAATCAAACCTTAAAGAGCCACATAACCAAATTAGTTCTAGAGTCTTGGTTGCCATGGACAAAATGTCTTCCTGTTGCCTTCTTAAGAATCCAAACTGCTCCTCAGAAAGATATTGGCCTCTCTCCTCATGAGATGCTCTATGGATTGCCTTATTTACACTCCACTGCTGACATCTCTACGTTTAAAATGAAAGAGCAACTCCTCAGGAATTATATACTTGGTCTCTCCTCTGCTTTCTGTTTTCTTAAAACCAAAAGTCTCCTAGCACAGGCGCCACCTCTGAAGTTTCCGATGCATCAACATCAGCCTGGGGATCACATCCTCATCAAAACGTGGAAAGAGGAAAAACTTGAGCTGGCCTGGGAAGGGCCTTACCTGGTACTTCTAACTACTGAAACTGCAGTCCAGACAGCAGGAAAAGGATGGACCCTTCACACCCAAGTCAAGTAAGCACCACCACCTCAGGAGTCATGGGCCATTATCACAGGGGAATACTCCCTCAAACTAAAGCTAAAAAAAGTTTAACACTCTTCCATCTATTTTATTACTCTTTCTTCTTTGCCCTTTCTATTGCTGACCACCTTGTTATCAATGTAACTAAATCAAACTCACCCCCAGTTATTATGTTTGATGCTTGTTTAGTCATAACCTATAGAGATCTCCAAAGTCAGAGGTAACTCTCAGCCTCAGAAAAGTATCTCTGCCCCTTTAAAATAACAGACTCCACCTACCAAGACTCTTGCGCCTTAACAAATGCAGGAAAACAGATCTGTCATAGCTGGAATGATGTTCTGTGGACAACCGAGTATCAAGGCTGGACCTCATCTACAGGTGGTTGTATATCCTTAAAACCATGCATTCACTTTACTAAAGAAAGAATCCAGTGCAAATTTCTATTCTCATTACCACGTCTACCGACCCTAGCCCTACTTTGAGTCACTTCTATGGCATAGGAGCCAACTTGCCTGGCACAGACCTCATAGGGTCTTTTGAAATGTGTTTTTATTAATCCCTCATCCTGTTTGCCCCCTTCCCTCTCTTCTCCTTCTGAGCTTTCTTCTAATCAGACGGCCATCCCTTCTATATCCAATGATAATACTAAAGCAAATATTGTAGAAGTAAATTATCTAAGGTAAACTTTAACAATTGAAACAGTATATCAACATATAAATTCCTGGTTGGAATGAATCAAATATTCCATCCACACATTAAACAAGAGCAATTGTTATGCTTGTGTGCACGGCCTCCAGAGGCCCAGATTGTCCCCTTTCCACTTGAATGGTCTCCCAGTAGAGCACACATGGGCTGCATGAAAGCTCTCCCACAGGATTCTATGGCTTGGGACAATAAATCATGCCAAGCTCTCTCTCTGCTATATCCCGAAGTCCAACACCCTGCGGATCGGCCCCCGAGGGCCATCCAGCTTCCATCTCCCAACGTCAATTTCACCTCATGTCTCTCATGACAAGGGGAGAACTTGGCGTTCCTTGAAAACTTAATGAGATGTAATGAGCTTAAGCCCTTCTAAGAGCTTACCTATCAGTCTACCGTTAGACGTCCTCAAGTGGATGTATGGTGGTATTATGGTAGACCCTTACTGGATACTCTGTGAAGTAACTGGAGCGGCACTTGCGTTCTTGTCCAATTGACTATCCCTTTCACCCTGATATTTCATTAGCCAGATAAAGAAAAATCACAACACTGTAAAATAAGAAAAGCCCCTATGGGTCTTTTGACTCTGAAGTTTATTTGGATGTAATTGAAGTCCCACAGGGAGTACCTAATAAACTCAAAGCCTGAGACCAAATAGCTGTAGGATTTGAATCAGTATTTCCATGGGTAACTATTAATAAAAATATAGACCAGATAAATTAAATCTATTATAACCAACAGTGATTTATTAATTACACTAGAGATGCTGTCAAAGTAATAGCCAAGCAATTAGGGCCTGTTAGCCAAATGGCTTGGGAAAACACAGTAGCCCTAGAAATGATGTTAGCTGAAAATGTGGAGTTTGAGTTATGACTAAAACTCAGTGTTGTACCTTCATCCCAAACAATACTGCCCCTGATGAAAACATAACAAAGCCTTCACAAGGACTTACCACTTTATCCAATGAACTAGCTAGAAATTCTGGAGTCGATTACCCTTTTTCAGGATGACTAGAAAAATGGTTCGGTAATGGAAAGGAATAGCGGCTTCAATTCTCACTTCTCTTGAAGTCATAATAGGTGTACTCATTCTTGTTGGGTGTTGTATTATACCATACACCCATGGGCTAGTACAAAGGCTTGTAGAAATGGCACTTACTAAAACTTCTCTTAGTTCTCCTCCACCTTATTCAGATAAGCTTTTCCTTTTAGAGGATCAAGTTGAACAACAAAGCAAAGATATGTTAAAAAGGTTTGAAGAGGAAGAACTATAAAAATTAGAAGGGGGGAATTCTAGGATACAATAAAATTCCTCTTCAAAGGTTCATCCTGTTAATTCCTTGTTCTTTGTTCTCAAACCTAACTTTCTTGTTCTCCGTGCCTCCTTGCCCCTAGTTACTATAAACAACCTTCTCATCAGTGCTAATCAATAACTCACATCTGTTACCTTGGTTATTCACTCTGTACCCATTCCTCCCACCAAAACTGCACATCCAACCACTGTAACTCACTTTCCCTTTCCCACTTCCTTATTTGGGTAAAATATTCGCAAATAGCCAATTGGGTCAGCTTAGACTGTGCGGTTTAACACCAGCCCATGGGGGAGTAACACAGATGTAGGAACTACACCTCAGAAATAAAAACCCCTTCCCTCCTTTGTTCAGTGTGCTCTTGTTATCATGATTGACACAGGCAGCACCATTCTGCAGAAGTAAATTGCCTTTCTGAAAAAGAACTTTTGCCTGAGGGCAGGTTTCATTTTGCGGCACTGAGCATTTACTTCCAACTGAGCTTCTTTTGTAAGTTATCTGGTGGTTTTCCTCACTGCTCTTATAATTCATTCCTTCACATTGACTTTAGATAACCTGATGATATATGCTTTGGTGATGTCATTTGTGCAATGAATTTCCTCGGAGTTCTTTGAGTTTCTTGTATTTGCATGTCTGAATTTCTAGCAAGACCAAATAACTTTTTCTTATTTTCTGAAATAGGTTGTGCAGACATTTTGCTTTATCTTCTCCTTCAGGAAGACCTATGATTCTTAGGTTTGGACATTTTACATAGTCTCACATTTTTTGTACACTTTGTTCACTTCTTTTAATTCTTTTCTCTTTATTTTAGTCTGATCAGGTTAATCTGAAAGCCTTGTCTTCAAGCTTTGGAATTATTTCTTCTACTTGGTTTACTGTACTGTTAAAATTTTCCACTATATTTTGTAATCCCCAAAATGTATCTTTCATTTCCAGAAGTTCTGATTTTTCATATTGCTGATTTTTCATATTGCTGGTTACTTCTTATTTGAGTAGACTATTTCTTATTTTTTTAACTTTATTTTTGATTTGACTGGGTTTCTTTAAAAATATTTTTTCCTTTGAAGATGTGACTTTAATGTACAGTTTATGTTGACCTAGCTTTGGCTCTGAATGCTTTCCATGGTAGAGACTCTGTATTAATTCCTTGGTTATAGATAATCATTTTGTGATGGCTTTCTCTGATGCTGGTTGTATTAACAATGTCCTTGGTGTGTGAACAGGCTCACTGTCTCTTGTGGGGCTGGAAAGGCAGAGGTATCATGAAGCTTATCTTATCTCCCAGTGGTGTACACTTTTAAAATTTTTTTCTAGTTTAGTTTTCACCGGGTTAACGAGTTTGGCATCAACCTGGTGAAAACTAAACTGGAAACCGGTCCATGGTTTAGTAGGAGGTGGCCAAGGCTAAAATTTTGTTGTGGCTGAAGTAGGTGGATATATTCAATACCTCAATGGTGGGAAAAGTTCACAGCCTTGACAGTGGTGGTTGGGGGAGCACTCATTGAAATACATTCAGGTCTTTTTGAGGGGAAGGGAGAAAGCCACCTCCTCTCCTCTTTCAGAACAGTAAGAAAGCTGTCTGCCTCCACATTATGCACTTGTCTCATTGTTCTGGCTATTCATATCAGATAGGTGCCTCTTTCCAGATTCAGGAATGCTGATGTTCCTTGTAGAGCGAGATTGTTACTGTACTCCTCATACAAGCCTGAGCTTGGAGGGCACTCATGTTGTGGGGATGCAGTCACCTCTAAGTGCTCCGGAAAGGCTACGTATGGGCGGACCCATGCCGAGTTCCTGTGGGAGAAACCGCAGCTGTGTACGCAGTGGTGGTAAGGAGGAGATAAAGTCTCCTCCAAATTTCTTCATGAGTATTTGGGCTGCCCAACTACTGCGTAGAACTGCAGTCCTTCCTCACCGAGACCAGCACTACACTTGTGACTCTGCTGAAAGAAACTTCCCACAAGCAGAAAGTTCTGGGACTCAAGTCCTGTACTCTGGTTTCTTTTGTGCCACAGGGTGCTCCCTTGATGTGGTGCACTCCCACTTCTCCTAGGAATGGTGGTCCCTGAGGGCCAGACTACTGTGAATGCTGCTGCTCTTCTGAGTCTAGGTGCCTGGTAGGGCTTCCACATTCCAGGTGGTGCTGGGGAATATCTACAAGGGATCCAATGTTATTAAGGTACAAGGGTTGAATGTCCTTAAATAGAACAAGGTCCCTCAGTGAGAGTGCATTCAGTATGGTATATGCTATTACAGCTTAGATTCAGAGGGAAAGGGAAAAAGCATTGTGTAAACAAAGGTAATGCCCTCAGAAAGTCCCCAAATTATAGCCCACTGTAATTCTGCTCACAAAAGCAAAGAAGCTCTCCTTGAGCTCATATATCAGTAGTCTACTGCAAGAGCTAGAGAGGTCAAGAGCACTCTCACCTATCCTTTCCATGGATTGCTAAGTTTTTCAGGGTTTGATTTCTGTTCGATCCCTGTGAGCTTGTTACTTCCTTTGTATATGTGTTTGTTGTAGATTCTTCCAGTGAACTTTCCTATAGAGTCTAGCACTCTCCCTTTACCAATTCATTTGGACTCTGATTATTCACCAGTAATTTGATTCTGCCTTCTGAGAAGAATTGGTCACTAGCATCTCTTGTTAGTCAACTGGGGAAGCTCTCTGCTGCCTCAGGTTGTGGACTGGTTTGCAGGGTGTGCAGTGGCTGGGTTCTGCGCTTAGCTCCAGAGAGAGGCAATGTTGGGTGGAGCTGGATCAAGTTTTCCTGTCCTCTGGTTTCCTCGCAGTCAGTGCAAGCACTAGCTCCGATGGGGGTGGCAGAGTGATGATATTAACTCTATGATTTTCTTCATTATAAATGGCTTTATTGTGGTGGTTTTCTCAAATGTCAGCTGTAGTATTAATGTACTGGGCACATGGACAGACTCAAGACCTTCTGATTAGCCAGGGTGATGTAGGCAATGGTGTTAGCACAGGTTGTCCAAAAGTTTTTGGCTTCCTGGATACTGTGTTGTTGTGCCAGCAGATGCAGTAATGGGTTGTGCTGGTTGGCCTTTAGCCATAAAGTGGCACTTGCAGGAAAGAGCCAGCTGTCGTGGTGGCTGTTGGATTTGTGCTTGGCTTATGTTACCCAGGGGAAGTACTCATGTGTCTCAGGCAATTGGGAAGGGCCATGGACCTACCAAGATCTCTGTCCATCTTGACCAGGTGAAGCCTGGGTCAAGAAAGTTTATGCTCTGGCTCCTTACGTGTGGGTGCAAGCAGTAGCCACAGTGAGGATCGGAGGGAGGTTCTCTGGCTGCTGGGGTAATGTTCCAGAGAGGAGCAAGCTACCTCTGTTGCACAGAAATGGGAGAGAGGGTATCAGATGGCAATAAGACCCACCCAGCTCCCACTCCCTCTACAAGGTAGGTCTCACACCTGCAGTATTCTGCTGGCAAGAGCTAACTGGATCCCAAGCAGCCTGTTCTCAGGATGCAAAACTGCCTCGGACCACAAGCCTTCCCACCCGCGGTAAAAACCATGGCTTTTAGGCCAAGCCGCTCCTGGTTTGCCTGGAAAGCAGGAGCTCCCAGCTCCTGTACCCATGATAAGAGCACACTTTTCACTCACTCCTTAGTTCTGGCCAATGGGATTTACCTTCACCTGAGATTAGATTACAAATGTCAATTGGGAGCTTCTGTCTGTGACTGCCACCTGAGTGAGCTGGCTGACTTCTGCAAGGTCAGGAATGGCTTCCCTCTTTCCCCACTGGGGTCTGGGAGTGCATACAAAGCATTTTCTGATGCAGCTCCTTCTCATGTGTTCCCGACTGCTCACCAAATACGCTCCAGTGCTGGGTAGGGTTGAGGAGCTCCCCTGTGACCTGGACTGCCCACCTCCCAGATGAGAGTGAGCATCGCAGAGGCAGTCTCTCCTCGTTTCATGCTCTGGACAGAAAGTTTTCTGCCTGGCTCACTGCTGCCCATCATTTCTTTCAAAGTGTCTGTTGTTTCTTTCAGGTTTCTGTTGAATCTCTGTGTTGCTTCTTAGATAAATGTTCACAGTGTGAATCTCTACACACTGTTTTGCTCTTTCTAAGCAGGTAAGACATGCTAACAAAGCCTCTGGTCCACCGTCTTGGAGTTAAAACAAACAAATCAACAAAACGTGCTTTTCTAGCAGCTAGTATAACAATATCTAGTAAATAATGTTGAAAGTTGGTCTCATGGAGAACACATTGTCTCTTATTCTGAAAATACCCATTTGAATTTCTTATGGGACATCAGCAGCAAACAAGTAATTTCTTGGGATGCTTGGGAGAAACTCTAGTCTAACAATCCATTCTTTCATTTTTCGTTATTAACAAAACACAGATTTTTGCCCTGGAGGGCAATGAGCTCAACCAGAAATTATTTTCTTTTCCTTTGCTGTTATAAGGGGGCATGTGATGAATTCCTAATCAGAGGGGCAGAATTGGAGAACTATAGCATGTTTCTAAAAAATCTTTTAATTTTTCTGGTAAATAAAAAAGATAAGTTGGCACTAGCCTTCTTACTGTCTTGAGTACTGTACTTTACTGTACTGTCTTGAGATGGACAAGTATTCTAAGCTGCAATAGCCTTGTTGTCTATTAACCAAGTTTCCCTCATCTAGATGCATAGGTAATTGATATGAAGAATGTGGCTTCCTTTATCCTTCTCTCCTCAGCCAAGTTAATAGATGCTTATTGAACTGAATCAAGGCTTTAGAATTCAGAGAATGTGACTCTGTTTATTTAGGCTTAATATCTAGATAAGAACCTCAGCACACTTTCTTCCAACACTTAAAAGTACATTTTGTGTTTTGTTTTGTTCCTTTTTTGGTCAAGTTACTTAGGTAGGACAGGGACAACAGACAACAGGCAGCAAGGGGGAAGCAATTTTTTAAATATTTGTTTGGACAGCAACTGACTGACTTTCTCAAACATTATTTCTTTCTTTCAGATTTTCATACTTTCATGCATCAAAAGATGTATATGGCTAGTGGAAGAGAAAAAAAGTAAACTACAAAGAAGGATGGGTCAAAAGATAAAGATAACTGCCTAACAAATGTGTATGTCTTTATCATGATCTTAATAAAACTTACAATGTAGATAACATGTAATATAGAATTGTCATAATGCAATTACTATGGTTGAAAATACTATGATTTCTTGCCTGAAACCATGACTCTTACTTTCCATCTCTTTGTGAAGTTCCACTTCACATATACACACAATCTCAATACTTACTCAAACATATCAAAGATACAACACTGCTGCTACTGCTACTATTTATAAGTTTACTGTTCCTACATTATTTTTCCATCTAGTGTTTCAGTTAATCTTGTCAACAACTCAAGTAAAAATGATAAATCTCACAAGTTCAAAAATTAGGAGTAAAAAGTATATGTATTCATAAATGAGAATTGTGATATTCTAGTTGGATTTTATATAAAACTTTAGAAGATAGCTTGTGATTTAAATAACACAATCAATAGACTTGTAAAGCTGTACAATACCTAAAAACTGAATAAACAACATGGATTTCCAGAGTGTCAAATGACGTGGATGAAAATTTTTGGCTTACGTGAATTTTAGTTGACCAAAGAAGGGAGTGAGCCTTTTTCTTTTTTTTCTTTTTTTTTTTTTTTTTGAGAAAGAGTCTCACTCTGTCGCCCAGGCTGGAGTGCAGTGGCACAATCTTGGCAGGAGTGAGCCCTTTTTAATTATCAGGAGCCATGCCAGTAACTTCGAGGGAATATGAGTATTGTTTGTGCTGCAGAATGTCTATAATATGTACGAGGGTTGTTTGAGGAGTCAGCATGTTGATGTTTCATTGTAAAACATAGGGATTGAATAGAAGAGAGAAAGCTAACAATCTGAATGTCTACAAAACCAATCCAGTTTTTGAAAATGGAAACTATGCTAAGATATATGTGTCCTCTGATGAGCCAAATTTCAGTTATTTGTTACACTCTGCTTATTGTAGAATTTGGATGATCCATTGACACTAGCTGAGGATCCTTCCAGCTAGAACTTTATTGAAGTAAACTATCAGGGAACCTGCCCCAATAGTCACGTAGGTTCTTTTCTATTTTCCCTAAGCATCGGCCGGTTTGAGAAATAAAGGGACAGAGTACAAAAGAGAGAAATTTTAGAGCTGGGCGTCCGGAGGAGACATCACATGTTGGTAGGTTCCGTGATGCCCCACAAGCCGCAAAAACCAGCAAGTTTTTATTAGGGATTTTCAAAAGGGGAGGGAGTGTGCAAATAGGTGTGGGTCACAGACATCAAGTACTTCACAAGATAATAGAATATCACAAGGCAAATGGAGGCAGGGTGAGATCACAGGACCACAGGACCGGGGCGAAATTAAAATTGCTAATGAAGTTTCGGGCACCACTGTCATTGATAACATCTTATCAGGAGACAGGGTTTTGAGAGCAACTGGTCTGACCAAAATTTATTAGACGGGAATTTCCTCTTCCTAATAAGCCTGGGAGTGCTATGGGAGACTGGGGTCTATTTCACCCCTACAGTCTACAGACCATAGAAAATGACCACACCCAGGGGGGCCATCTATAGACCTACCCCCAGGCACATATTCTCTTTCCCAGGGATGTTCCTTGTTGAGAAAAAGAATTCAGTGATATTTCTCCCATTTGCTTTTGAAAGAAGAGAAATATGGCTCTGTTCTGCCCGGCTCACTGGCAGTCACAGTTTAAGGTTATCTCTCTTGTTTCCTAAACATTGCTGTTATCTTGTTCTTTTTTCAAGGTGCCCAGATTTCATATTGTTCAAACACACATGCTCTACAATTTGTGCAGTTAATGCAATTATCACAGGGTCCTGAGGGGCATACATCCTCCTCGGCTTACGAGATGACAGGATTAAGAGATTAAAGTAAAGACAGGCATAGGAAATCACAAGGGTATTGATTGAGGAAGTTATAAGTGTCCATGAAATCTTCACAATTTATGTTTAGAGATTGCAGTAAAGACAGGCATAAGAAATTATAAAAGTATTAATTTGGGGAACTAATAAATGTCCATGAAATCTTCACAATCCACATTCTTCTGCCATGGCTTCAGCCAGTCCCTCCATTTGGGGTCCCTGACTTCCTGCAACAGTAAACAGCAATAAGAAAATTCTTCCTGATTAAATCATGATCATTACTGACATCAAAATACTGGCTTCCAAAAATTAGAACTTGAAGCAATACCATCTTGAAATACTTACTTGTACTCCTAATCATTCTCTACACCAGGATGAATTTGGTGTGTCTTTCCAAAAAGAAAGCATTTCTACAATTTCATCCTTATTTTGACTAAAGAATAGAAATAAAGACAATATTAAACATCTCTACATTGTTTTTGTTAATATATTAATAGAGAAAAAAATTGGGGGAATGGTAAAAGAAGGCTAACGCATGTTTTCTTTTCCATTGTTTTGGTAGTCACAAACCTTAGGGAAAAAAACTGATTTTACAACGCCTTTTTTCTTTGTTTGTTTTCTTTCCTAGAGGGCATATGCACCCAGGTAAGAATAAACTAAATTCTTTGGTCCAGGACCCAAAGTATCACAAAATATTTGTTTTTAAATGTTTATTACACATGAGCTTTTGCACAAGGCATTGTATATGTATTATTTAGTTTGATTGTACAACTGTAAGATATCATATTTAATTCATAGGTGCAGGATCTGAAGCCAGAGGAATCATATGATAGTATACCATAAAGAAATTAAAGCCCACTTTGTCTTTATTTGAAAACTCCTGCTGCCTGAATGATTCTCTAGTCCCAGCGTCACAATTATCTGTTGTCTACAAAAACTGCAATCCCAGCTGTCTGAAATCACACTGCCTGGGCCGAATGCCAGAGCACACACCCATGTTTTGGACCTCTTTTTTTTTTATTGTTATTTTTTACAATGCAAATACAGTTGACCCTTGAAGAATGCAGTGTTAGGGATACTGACCTCTAGTGCAGTTGAAAATTTGTCTATACCTTTTGATTTTCAAGAAACTTGTTTACTAACAGCTTACTGTTGACTGGAAGCCTTACCAATAACAGCCAATTGACATATATTGTATATGTTATGTGTGTTTTATACCGTATTCTTACAATAAAGTAAAATAGAAAAAATATCATTAAGAAAATCACAGGGAAGAGAAAATATATTTTTTATTTATTAAGAAGAAATGGATCATCATAAAGATCATCCTCTTGGTCTTCATGTTGAATAGCCTGAGAAGGAGCAGAAAAAGAATGGTTAACTTTGCTGTTTCAGAAGCGGCAGAGGCAGAGGAAAATCCACCACATAGTTCAGGCCCATGTTGTTCAAGGGTCAACTACAGTTAAAACCTATTCACTGTGCCTCCATCAAAAAAGAGGTAGACTTTGGGAAAACTACTAAGGGAACCAGTGGAAAAGAGTCTTCTCTGAATACTTCACTAATGGATCATTTCCAATGAATGAGATTTTCACATTTTAACATACATTAAGAAGGATTACCACCCGTATTAGTTTTCTATTGCTGTTGTAACAAATTGCCACAAACACAGTAGCTTAAAACAACACAAACTTATCTTACAGTTCTAGAGGTCAGAAGTTTGAAACAGGTCTTACTGAACTAAAAGTCAGTGTCATCAGGTCCGTGTTCCCTTCTGGAGGCATTTTAAGTTAAGATGTTTCCTTGCCATTTTCAGCTTCTAGAGGCTGCCAACATCTCTTGGATTGTAGCCTCCTTTCATCATCTTCAAAGTTAGCAATGGGAGGCCATGTTCTTCTCACATCTCATCACTCTGACACTAACTTTCCTGCCTCCTGCTTCCACATATAATTACACTTGTGACTTTCTATTCAGCGGTCAAATGATTAGCAATCTTACTTCCTGAAATCTTAATTCCCCTTTGCCATATAACACAATATATTCACAGATTCCAAGGATTAAGATGTAGACATGTTTTAGAGACTATTACTTTGCCTGCTACATCACCACCTTAAAAAAATGGAAAATAAAAAATGGTGGTACAGATAAATGGCCAAATCTCACCAAGATCTCAAACTGCTTATGTCCACATTCTGGGCACTGCAAATTAGTGAATGATTCTGGAAGGTGCATAAGAACAAATACAAAAATCCTGTATGACTTCTTGGGTTTTCAGAAACAAAATGGAAGTATGGTCCTTAATCCAATGTCTGAAAATTGTATGACCTTAAGCAAATCTTATATATATGTAAATGTTTATGTTGCATCTTGAATTTCTCATATTCAAAATAATAGGTTAAAACTAGACAATCTCATGTCAAATCCAGAAGATACAGTATTATCTTCTGAAAGGGAGGGTTTTAATGAGGACACAAAATTAGGAGAGAAAGATGCATACCAGTAACTTGAAACAGAGCAGAATCTTACAACAAAACATAACACTGTTACTTTTAGAAATGTGCAAATCTGACACTAACAGCTCAGAAAATAGTGTAATTATGAGCAGAGAGCCTTATTTTTTCTTAGAGTTTGCAGATAATAAAGGATAGCTTTAGACACATTTTGATCAAAGTAAATACATATTACTTTTAGTTTATTTTATAGAAATTATTTTTATTTGACTTAGTTATTCATTGTATTCATTGTCAAGGGAAATAAATATTAATTGAAATAAAAATAGATAACAACATAAAAAGCCCTTTTTTAGAGCTAAGAACAATTGCATTCAAACATGATTAATAGGCTAGTGAAAGCAGGGGTCTTAATACCAAAATGTATTAATGACATGGAAAAGTGAAACAATCTCATATTTATGACATTTCAGATAATGCTAAATTAGGATTTATATTTTATGTTATGTCTCATATTTCAAAACTAAAATACAAATTGAATTCCATTTACTTAAAGTAGAATACAAAATGATATAATACAAAATGATATAAATTGATAAAGTAAAAAAGTACTTTCTAATATCAAATGTTGAAAATCATTTTTAAAATCATATTACTCAAATTTATCCTCTAATTATATACACGCCTTCTCTTTACATTAAACAAAAACATATACATGTGATTCAAGTAAAATTTTGTGAGTGATGATTTTATAATAGGGTAGAAGGTGTTGAAATGCTAAAGAATACATCTTGTGCCTAGGAAAGGAAAAATAAATACCAAGGAAAATCAGATGGGGTAAGACGGAACTATAAAACAAGTAAGAAAAAGAGATTCCAAAATTTGTCAACTGGGACATGTGTTTAATCCCTATAGTCCTTTTTTTTCTGTATTCATAAGATACATAAATTTCCCCTATTTATCAAATATATGATTCTATTAAAAATGGACTGAAAGATTCTAGGAGACTCAAATACCAACTGGAAAATGAAAATTGCTCAATGTTAAAAAGAGTAAGAACATTCTAGACAAAGGCTGAAGAAAGAAGTCTCTCACAGAAAATGAACTGACAGTGGGGTGGGAGGCTTTGGTGGATGGAGTCAGGGACAGTTATAGGTGAAAAGATGTTCTCTTACTGGGAATTTGAGACAGGAGGAATTAGCCAAAAAATGCAAAGAATAATTAGTGTAATTTAGGCCTGGGCTTATTTGGAAATATATGGTATGATTGTTTTCACAAAGGGCCACGTCGAACAATGAGGTTTCAACAGGGCTGATAATAAGGTAGAAATAGCTTGAGGCCAGGCGCAGTGGCTCACGCCTGTAATCCCAGCACTTTGGGAGGCCGAGGCGGGCGGATCACAAGGTCAGGAGATCGAGACCATCCTGGCTAACACGGTGAAACCCCGTTTCTACTAAAAATACAAAAAATTAGCCAGGCGTGGTGGTGGGTGCCTGTAGTTCCAGCTACTCAGGAGGCTGAGGCAGGAGAATGGCATGAACCCAGGAGGTGGAGCTTACAGTGAGCCGAGATCAAGCCACTGCATTCCAGCCTGGGCGACAGAGCGAGACTCCATCTCAAAAAAAAAAAAAAAGAAAAAGAAAAAGAAAAAAAAATAGCTTGAAAAGGAAACTGGGAGATAGACAAATTGTCATTTGTGGCTAAAATGTGAACTAATACATAGTGATATTTCGTAATATGTTGCCCACCTTTTTTTGACACAGCTACATACAGTTTGTACCACCAAATGACCGGAATTACAAAGATTATATATTCAGTCTGCCTGAAAAGCTTATAATGAAGTTATTTTCTGCTAGGAAAGCTATAGCGACATCTAGAAATTTAAAGATGATTCAGATCTAATAAGGAAAATTTCTAAATAAAAAATACTTACTGGGTTTCCACATTGTTAATGGATTATATTAGATATTGGAGAAAGGAAAGAGCACTATAATAGAGTAGTAAAAAAATTTTGTTTATGTTAGGTATAGCTCAGTATCTCTTACGTGATGAACATTTAATAAATTTTAGTTATCATCATCATTATTCTCATTATGAGATAAATCAGAAAACCTCGATGTCAGTTTTAGTCTTACTACTTACTAGATATGATTCCTTCTTCAAGTTTTTTAACCTCTTTTAAATCTCTGTTTCCATATTTATTAAGTAATAAAAAAATCTGTTAAACAATTATTGGACAGAATTGTTGTGAAAAGAAACTTGAGATAATATAGCTCTATACATATGCATGTAAATGTATATGAATGCTTTTTGTAAACACTAAAAAATAATAAAAATTTGTAGGCCTAAGTCAAAGGCTTGTCTTTACCGAGATTATAAGCAAAAAATTGGAGATATAATGCAAATACAAGGGCTATAAGAATGCATACAATATGCATATGATATGATGGCCAAATTCAAAAGAGTTTTTTTTTTTTACAGAAATACATTAGTGAAGGATTATAATATAATATTAACATCGGTTGACTCAATGGACTTGAAAGAATGGATCAGAGTAGATAAAATGAAACATTTACTAAAGTTAAGTAAAGATACTGAGTATAAATGTTTCTTTTACCTAGAGCATATAAATAGTTGCATCCTTAATACTGTATTTAGTCACCCCCAGCCTCTACCCCTGACCTTTTATATAGATTCTGTTTAAAACCATATTAGCCTGTTAAAGCCTTACACACACTTCAGCACAACAGCATACATTGACAAATAAAATAATTATTTGAAACATTACAAAGAAAATGTCAAAAACTGCTTTTTGTTTTTATCCAAGAGTATAATATTATGTATCCTTTGGAAGAGAATAAATGACTTACAATAGTATAAAAAATAAAATATGTATATTTTGTTGAGTATAGAAAAAAACCACAAAGTAATTAACATTAAATTTTAGGGAAACCACAAAAAATGATTAGATTATAGCATTATCTCCCTGGGGAAGTAAAAGAAACCTTGTGACTACTAAAACTAGATGAGGTTAAATGAGAGAGGGTGGATACAATAAAATAATTCTAAACCTAAAGGAAAGAGGATAGATGACCTTTCATTTTTGTCCATAGCATTCTTGGACCCTAAACTGCTCTGAAACAGTAACTATTTTTGAATTAACTGTAAATAAATCAGAAACATATATATTCAAATTTTGCATTCTGAAAATGATCCTGATCACCCTAATCAGGTGGGGAAAGTTACTGTTAAATTCCAGATATTTTCAATTTACCAAGCCATGTACAAAGGTCATGTTAATAAGGATAGGTATAGTTGATTAAAAACAAAATTAAAAGCAACAAATAAATGCAATGAGGCCTCTGAGGATGTGTCTCTCTAATAATAGTTTATCTATGCCTGAACCAGTCATCTCCTTTGAGCAAAATGTACTCTAGGTTGACAGAAAGTACTTTTGACACAAAATGCTCCGTATTGATTTCCAGGATTCTGTTGTGGCCTTTCTTCAGCAGATTCCCGCTAGACTTAACAGGAAAACCACTTTGATACATAATTCAATGGAAACCCCAATATAACTTTTCAAATTTACAACTGACAACTGGGGAGATGAAGAATGACATTCCATCTTTCTTCCTGGAATTTCAAGCACAATGAATAAAATTTTTCAGTCTAAAGTGCATATTCTGCATCAGTAGCCATATCACTGGGAGAAACAAACCAAGAATGATCCAAGCATTTTCCCCCCACCATTACCCCTTTTTACTTATTATTATTATTATTATTATTATTATTGTGTTATATGTATTTTTTCTTTTATAGATTTAGAGGATAGAAGTGCAGTTTTGATACACGCATTTACTGCGTAGTGGTAAAGATTCAGCTTCTAGATTAATCATCACTAAAATAGTGTACATTGTCTCATTAGGTAATTTCTCATCCCTCACCTACCCTCTCACTTTTCCAAGTCTCCAATGTTTATTTTTCCACTCTCTATGTCCCTCAGATAATAAAAGAATCAGGGTATAGGTACAGCTAGTATTGACTTTTCATCACATTCTCCACCCCAAAAGAAAATATTCCTTCTGGATATTAAGATTAAGCCCTTTTGTGTCACAAAAGGTAGTATGATGATGTTTCTTGAAGCAATTTTTAGTCTCAATCTAATGTGACTTGATTTGATACTTTATTTTGAAGTAAAAACAAATAAACCAACAACAACAACAACAAAATATGTTTTTCAGGCATATTTTCATGACATTTAGTTAAGGATTTCCCTTAAAAAATCATAATTTACCTTCACAAAAGGATTTAGACACCATTTCTTTAGTAAAATGCACAAATCACTATTCCCAAAGCAGCACAGCTGTAAATTTTATAATGCCTGTATTCCTAAAATTCCAAAATACCTAATTACAACAAAATGCTATATTTTTATGATCTTATAGTATTACTCCAATTTACACATTTAATAAAATTTATTCAAATCTTGATTACTCTGAAATGTGTAAAAAAAACTTTGTAGCTTCTCTGGGGACTGCTGATAACTTCATTACAACTTTTTACCTGAGATAAAATGAAATCTGGGAGAGATTTATATTGATTATTCCTTAAGTTTGCTTGATAAACTTCTCAATTCTAAAATAACTGAACCTATTTCATGATTAAGAAGGATATCAGGGTTATGACGTGTCAATTATTCGATTGTTTTATATTTTTGAAAATAAAATGTTTACAAAGAAAATTATTTCAAAACATGTTAAGTAGTGTTATTTGCTAACAGTCTCCTTAGTTTAATCTGGTGCTTATGTTGAAATATATACTAAGAATGTATTATATATTTATGTATGCATTATAATACACAACATCTATAATAGATACATATTTTGTAACATAAACATACATATATGTTTATAAACATAAATATATGTATATACAATACATGTTTTGAACCACTCACCAATGGTTCAAAAATGCAAGGATCTTTGATAATTGGTTACACTTTTAGGCTATGGAGATGTAATTAATTACAGGTTGGAGCTGATGTCACACACTTTGATATGTTTCACTTTCCATTTTTTGATCAGTTAACTGTAGCTTTAAAAATATGAAATCAGAGACACTTAAAATTTTTCCTTTTACTGCACTTTCCAATTTACAGAGAAAAATTAATCCAACTCAAGTCACAGTTCATGAGGGTGCTTTAAATAAAAGAAGAAAAAGGGTTTATATTGTTTGGAAATGTCATAGAAATTTTATGTCCAATATTTTATTTTACTTACCAACCTTAGTCCAACACAAACTTACTAGAGTCAGGTTAAATCAATGATTTTCAACCAATTGAATTCCAAGTTTGCAAAAACTAAGAACTGACAATAATGAGGATCCTATTTTGCTATCTCCCCCTCCCATATAGGTCCATCAGGGGGAAAGCTGTAAAAATAAATAGTGGTCTGTCCAAAAGACAGAAGCACAAACATGACTGGCTTTGTGGTATTATTTCCTGAATGGCCCAAGTTATGTTTTGAAGAGTATTTTTCTAGGCTAAATTACAGAATCATAGAATCATGAATTTTTAGAAGTAGAGAAAGTTTTAGTGACATTTAGACATTTAGGGTGACATTTAGTAAACATTCCTTTGAATGTTCAAAATAATATGCAAAAGAATGAGTGTAGCTTCCTAAGAACCTTCTGTCCTCGAAGTTGGCTTTCCATACTTATTAGAATGCTGAGTAAAATGTGCCTTATAGCTTCACCATATTGTGTTTTGGCTTAGTGATGATAAAGTTGGTTTCTATAGGATTATATTCAAGGAGGTTTGTTTATGGATATAAAAGGGTTTCATTGGCATAGTTATCTAACCATAGAATATAATAGAAACCCAGAAAATATTACCAGGATAAATTTTCAGTTTGTAAGAAGTCATGCTACTAACTAAAATCTGCATCATGTAGCAGGAAATCTTAGCCTAGTTTATCATCTCTAAAGTTAGATTACAGTATATTAAGAGATTACAATTTGGGGCTAAAGTTTATAAGCTATAATTCTGTAATTTATATAGAACCTAGCATTATGCATAGTAGGAAACTAATATTTATATATTTTTTAAAGTTTTAAATATTTTGGGTTGTACCTGTTTCAAAAACAAAACAAAACAAAACAAAACAAAACAAAACAAAATAATCCCTTTAGAGAATCAGAGGGATATCCACAGCTTCCCATTTATTTTATTAAAATTATTAGGGAACACTTAATTATGCTTAAAGTAGATTATCTCATTTAAGTCTCAGAGAAACCAACTTTATAAGTGAGGAGAGGAGACCAGTTAGAGAGATCTAATAATTCATTTCAAAGAAAGGGTAATAATTCTTGGAAAAGTTATTTTAAATAACCAAATATAGCCACTCTAATTCTTGTATCAAAGGGAAAATACTAAACTGAAATATCCCATGTAATTCTAATCAAAGAGGAAAACAAAACAAAATCATTTTTCTCAGATATCTTTCCTTCACCCTTACTCAGGATTTCTTCATATTAAAAAAAGAAAACAACAATATAGAATTCCTTAGAATAAAATCAATGCCTGCAAAGCATGCGTCTTCGAATGGGATTGACTCAGTTCCCCTTCAGTCTACACTCCTCTCAGTCTACCCCTGAGCTTAGTGTATAAGTGGTCATATGATGATAACTCATGGAGAGAGACATGCTTGCACAGTCTGTGGACTCATCTGTGTCCATATATTCCCTGTAATGTTACTTCTTTGTACATTTTCTCTACTCTAATGTTTAACCACACACAGATTTGATACATTATTTCAAAGTGTCTCAACTTTTTACAATTTCTACTCTTTATATGATGAGCTATTGCTTTTCAAACATTCTGTTAAACAGTTACTATTACTCTCTGAAATTCATTTTAGGTAAACTGAGAACCACAAAAACAACTTTTAACTTACAGATCAGCACAATTTTAAGCTAGACTTACCAACAATTCATATTAAAAACCCATTTTCTTTATTTTCTCTTTCATTCAGATTTTTCTCCAATGTTGTGGGAGTTTCTAAAGTCACCGGATACCTTTATCTTTATTAGGTGTCATGGATATTTCATTAGAAAAATTAAGCGCTCTACTGAAAATAAATCAAAATACTGGGTGGGCTTGTGAAGTTCCAAAATTATTTTTAAGTCATATTTAGCTGCCAAAATTGATACAACTTATCCACTTGCATTTCCAAATAAATTTTCGATTATTTGAATATGCCTTTTAAAAGTAGACCAGGACATGACTCCCCTCTACATTTAGCAATTTTTAAGTATTGTGTTCCTTTTGGCTATTTTTTAACTTGGCTGGATAAAAATTGCAGATAACATAGTAGACGATTAGAGAGATGTTAATAACCTAATGTAAAAATTGATTACATCTGAGCCCACTGCTGTTATGGTATGTAAATTCCGTTCTATGCCTTAAGGTTAATGTGGAAATCATGAGCAGTAATCAACAAAAAAGACTCAAATTTTAAGAAGTAATTGTTATATCTCAATATTATATTTAATGAACTATATTTTACTAAGTAAATGCACAACATTCTTAATATGCATTCATTACATCCAATTATCCAATACATCTTGTAAAGGGTTCCATTATAATGGTTATAATGCTTTCATACAAAGAGGGATAAAAGGAAGAAGCAAGAAGAATGTAAAATTTTGTAAGACAAAATTTTGCTTGTTGTTAAAATAACCCTTTATCTCCACTCCAAAATTGTTAGATTTTGTACATTTGCTAACATACTCAATTTTATTTTAGCAACTTTTAACCCTGCTTTCAAAATGCAGCCAAAATAGAGCCTATTTCTTAGCAAAACTCTTTCTGTTTTTTACCCAATAGTGTGACTCACTCTTTCTTCTGTGCTATGTGTGACACAATACACTTTCAGCTGGTAATCACGCCTTGTTGTTTTGTAATTTTAAGTCTTTATATCAGCCTTTCCTCTTAGAATGAATTTGTAAGCAAAAGGTCACTTTTGTCTCACCTTTTCATATTCTTTTCTTGACACTTTTTCTAGAATGCAGAAGATGAACTAGAATATAAGTTTCCACTAACAGAAGCTGCATTAGAACAGGACTTTATAAGTGTTTGTTCATCCATGTGTCATGATTACCTAGATGAGTACCTGGCACACAGGAAACAATAAAAAATATTCATTGTATATATAAGGTTTTACTGAATTAGTCGAGTTAGTTTCCTAACGTATCTAATCATGAAAATCATTATTTGCCTTTGTATTAGTTACTGTGAATTTCATAGTGTATATTTTACCACTTTGACAAGTTTATACCTCAATACACATTTTAGTCATCAAGATAGCAGAAAGAATCATCTGCATGGTGAAATTGTAACCCTGCCTGCCCTTCTGATGCAATTACCATCTAACACATGTGCATTAGAACTTCCAAGCCTGGACCTCTCATCAGAAGCTTTAAGCAAACTGAATCTTAGCACTGAAAATGGGGTGGAAACTTTGCTGTACAGTCTCACTCATGATATTTCTGGCACTCTTTAGGTCATTTCATGCCAAATAATTGCATGAGGCCACATTAGATTTCAGAAATACCGACTCCTGCCAGAAACAGGAAGATAAGTGAAACTCTCACAGGTTAACAATAATTGCAACAACATATTTCCAAGCCCTCTGTTTGCCAGTCTCCCCTTTCCAGTCTTTAATTTTAATTGCTCCATTCACATTGAATTAAATGTGAACTAGTAAAATTTAACTTGTTATTTATTTTTAAAAGCACTGGACTGTGAAAATCAAGAGACCCACATTCATATACCAACTGAATCATTAACAAGCTGTGTGTCTTTGGCAAGTCACCTCTGTTTTCTTATTCTTAGGATCCCAAACTGAGAAAACAGGAGATTGGGTTGTATAATATTTGAAGTCCCTTCAAGCTCTAAAATTCTAAGTTTCTTTCTTTTTTTTTAATTTTTTTTTAATACAGGGTCTTGGTCTGTCACCCAGTCTACAGTGCAGTGGCGGGATCACGGCTCTCTGCAGTCTCCATCCTCCCACTTCGCCCCCGAGTAGCTGGGACCACAGGTGTGTGCCACCATACCATGACAGGCTAATTTATGTTTGTTTGTTTGTTTGTTTGTTTGTTTATTTTTGGCTTGGGGGGACCAAGTCTCGCTCTGTCGCCAGGCTGGCGTGCAGTGGTGCGATCTCAGCTCATTGCAATCTCTACCTCCCGGCTTCAAGCGATTCTCCTGCCTCAGCCTCCCAAGTAGCTGGGACTACAGGCATGAGCCACCACACCCAGATAATTTTTGGATTTTTAGTAGAGATGGGGCTTCATCATGTTGGCCAGGATGGTCTCAATCTCCTGACCTCATGATCTGCCCACCTCGGCCTCCCAAAGCGCTGGGATTATAGGCGCGAGCCACCTTGCCCAGCTGCCATGCTAATTTTTAAAAAATTGTGTAGAGATGGGGTCTCACTACGTTGCCCAGGCTGATATCAACCTCCTGGGCTCAAACAATCCTCCTGCCTTGGCCTCCCAAAGTGCTAGGATTACAGGCCTGAGCCACCAAACTCAGACCAAGATTCTTTTAATTTATCTCCAGACACTGGTATTTCCAAATTTTCATTCATATCATTGTACTTCTTTATATTTCCTTAGTATTGAATACCTTCCACCCTCTCCTTGGCTAAGCCTCCTTCAAATTTTTAACAGGAAACCTCCCCTGATTGCTCATCTTCTCATTGATTTTCCCTCCCTCTGATCTCTTACATCATTCAGTGGGGAGTATAATATAGCCATATTAATATACTATTTTGTCAAATATGTTAGTTTTTAATATTCGACTACAGTTATGCATATATGTTAGTCTTATATTTCTAAGTGGATTGACATCTTCTTATAAGAGAGATAAGAGCTAGCAGCTCTGACATTTAGTAATGTTCCAGGTATTTGTGAACTTTAAAAAAAAAATTAAGAAGCACTTCTGCTTGCTTACTTGATTTTAGAAGAAAAGTTTGTACAATTAATTACACAAATAGGTTTTTTTTTTTGCATAAGATGTTAAACAAGATATGCATACATTTCCCATTCTATTGGTAATGTTGCTGTTTGTAGAGTCTTTCACTCTCTCTGATCCATATATCTTTGATGTTCCTGAGAATCAGTTTTGTCTATGGAGTCAAAAAAGGCCTTTGGTTAGACCTCTGTGTGTGTTCAAGTAGTGGGAAAAGATACCATTCCAGATGATTGACTTCAACAAAAACATTTTCTTGTATGGTCTAAGGAAGAAAACAGAATTATGATTAAATAAAACCAAGTTTTAGTACCAGCTTTGTCAGGAAATCCCTGGGTAACAGAAATAATAAGTTAATATGCCTGTACTCAGTTTTCCTATTACATATATAATCCAATGTTATTCTCCTGATTAGTTTAACAGATCAGATACACATAAAGTGAGAAAATGTTTTAAAAGCTTTGAAATATATAAACAACATACAAATGTTAGGATATTACTATTTTCAGTCTGTTTCTTCTCCATCATCAATTTATGCCTTTCTTATCAATTACATTTATTGGGATTCTGTTTGAATTTGGGAGTAAAACTCCAACAGAAAACTGATACATGAAGCTGGGACTCTTCTTTCTGCAGCAAACTGAAATAGCCAGAAGCAATGGATGTGAAACCCGTCTAAATTGCTAGTGTGGGAAATAACAGATTTACAAAAATATTTTTTTTCTATTTTCTGATAAATTTCCTATGCAAAATATTTTTAGCATAGTATACTTTTTATTTGTGGCACATAAAACATATGACTCTTATACGATGAATAAATTTGCTGAAGATTGTGCCTGGAGATTGAGCCAATAGTTAATTCTTGTTCTTCTTCTTGAGTTCATTGGTGTCACAGGAAACTGTTAAAACATGTTGGGGCCGGGTGCGGTGGCTCACATCTGTAATACCAGCACTTTAGGGGCCGAAACGGGCGGATCACGAGGTCAGGAGATCGAGACCTTCCTGGCTAACACAGTGAAACCCCGTCTCTACTAAAAATACACAAAATTAGCCGGGCGTGGTGGTGGGTGCCTGTAGTCCCAGCTTCTCGGGAGGCTGAGGCAGGAGAATGGCATGAACCTGGGAGGCAGAGCTTGCGGTGAGCCGAGATCACACCACTGCACTCCAGCCTTGGCGACAGAGCAAGACTCCGTCTCAAAAAAAAAAAAAAAAAAAAAAAAAGTTGGAATATTCATTAGTGTGTGTTGCATTAATATTGAAGTTCTCTATTAAGATAAATTAATTTACAAGGAAACACTAAAACATTATGAAAGAAGACTATAATTATACAGTTTTCTGATATTAAATGTCAACAGATAACAAATCAATTGTCTGGGTTTTCTCCTTAGCAACTGTATGATCTCTTCTAATTTGGTCAGTTTTAATAAGTTTTTTTTAACATGGTTAAATTATTATTTCTTTTTATATCCTTTTCCTGCTTTCTTTCGCCTATTAATTACATATATTAAAAGCTACTTTTAATTTACAAAGATACATTTATTATACCATTTAATCTTTAAAATAAATCTATGAGGTAGGTAACATTACTACCTTTATTTAAATAAGACAAAATTAAGTTTTAGAAAGATGAAATAACCCATCTAAGTCCACAGCTGGTTAATGACTAAGTTGATAACAAAATCCAAGTCTTTCTGAATCTGAAGTAGATGCTCTTAACCCTAATCCATTCTATCTTAGTCTCACTACCATTACATGGCTTATTGGTTTTTAATTCCTATTCCCTGAAGAAGTCCATAATCATTTATCTTTAGAAATATTTTGTACATTTAAAATTTACAATTAGAATAAAAAGTTTAACTTTTCTTACTACATTTGCCTTTATATAAATATTTAAGCTATATTACATAATATCTACAAGATATTTTATAATAATAACATAATAGAATGAGCATTTATTATATATCACATAACTATATACAAAACACTTAATGTGTAAGCTAGATTGGTTGATTTTCAATGCAAGACATTTATTTGTTTAAGCAAAATTCTCTTTCATTTAAGGTCATGAGAAACAAGGAAAGACTGAGAAACGGTTACTATCTGGGGAGACTAAGGAGAGATGATGACTAAATGCAGTATGGTATGCTGGACTGGATCATACAACAGAAAAAATGACATTAGTGCATAAACTGATAAAAATCAAATAAGGTCTTCAGTTTAGTTAGCAGAGTCTTACTTTTGACTAAAGCACCATGGTACTCATTCTGCTAGCATTAGGGAAAGCCGAATGGAAAGTGTACTTTCCTTCAACTATCTTTGCAAACATTTAGTAAATTTTAAAGTATTCAAAATAAAAAGTTTAAAGTAAAAAAAGATTTATTGAGTATCAATCTTGTGCTAAACTGTGCTAAGGAGTAGTCAGGAGGGAAAAATCCTTCTGAAAGAAAGATAGCTTCTATTCTCAATGAGTTAATAGTCTAATTAGGTTAAAAATACACTGTAAACCAGTATGACCTTTGTGTGTATAAATATGAGCAGAGGGCAAATGGGCACATGACAAAGAGAAAACCAACTCTACTTGGCTAAGAAAAAGGAGAATACTTAGGGATTCAGGAAATACTTCACAAATTCATTATATTATCTTAATTTTCAGTGTGAGGCAATAAAAATGAAAATTTGTAGACATATATTCCATACGATTATACAGATAATATTGAAAAAAATTTATGTGACTAATCTTAAAAAAATAAATTTATATATATTTTGTAATATTTATTATATTATATAAAATAATTTTATATTAAGTAAAATTATATTTTTATTTATGAATAACAGGTAAGGTTTCAGATAGATAAACAGATGTAAATATATATGTTTTTTCTTAATTATAATAAATGTTATTAAAGTAATGGTATGCAATTTGGTTTATCTATTCCAGACACAAATGGTTTTGAATTAGCAAGAAACCCAAGAATAATCATAATATTTTAAACATTTCAATTGAAATTGACAGTATATAGGTAACAATCTCTATCACAATATACTTCTATATACTCTTATAGTTAAATTTGTAGAAATGCTTGCTTTTTTTAAGAAACAAAAACTCACACCTGGAGTTTGGTTAGGCCTGTCTAAAATGACATCTATCATATTTCAAGTGGGAAAATTTACTCTAATTTGCTCCTCAATTATATTCAATTGCATTTACTATATTTAATAGGATTATGAAAACTAATTTGATCATTGTATTTGATAAGAGTCCTATGTTAATATTCACAAACATAGTATACTTTAGAGAATAATTATAAATCAATATAGAATCTTCTTTTGTAGCAAATTATTTGGAAACCTATTAATAGGAGGTTCTGTGAACAGATGAAATACTGTGAATGTCAGTGTATGTTTTGATACTGTAAATGCTTCGTTGGAAAGGCTTTATGAATGTTTAACTATATTTTAGCTAACATCCTACAGTCCATTTTTTATCAGTAAAATGCCTAAGAGTTTCCACTTGAGTTTCGAGAAATCCAGATGGACCACATTACCATTTGGCTTCTTCAAGCAGTCTGAAAACTTGACCTTGTTTCTCACAAAAGTACTCAGTTTTATGTTAGTGTTAAGTGCTGTAATATCTCTAAGCTTTTAACTTCATTCAACCTGCTCAAAACAGAATATTTTATTTTGCTCTCAAATGAAAATTTAACTCATGATAATACTGGCCAATTTTCAATAAGTAATGGAACCTAACATAAATACACAATCAAGGCCGGGCTCGGTGGCTCAGGCCTGTAATCCTAGCACTTTGGGAGGCCGAGGCGGGTGGATCACCTGAGGTCAGAGGTTCGAAAACAGCCTGGCCAACGTGGCAAAACCCCATCTCTACTAAAAGTACAAAAATTAGCCGGGTACAGGTGGCAGGCACCTGTAATCCCAGCTACTTGGGAGGCTGAGGCAGGAGAATCGCATGAACCTGGGGGCAGAGGTTGCAGTGAGCCGAGATTGCACCACTTCACTCCCGCCTGGGCAAAAGAGCAAAACACCATCTTAAAAAAAAAAAATCAATAGCTAGCATCATGATGCCATCTTACATATATAAAGTCAACCCTTTTAACACACCAACAGAAGTATATGAACTTTCATTTGTTTTTCTGGAAGTGGTAATACACTTGACTCAATCCATCGCATTTTATTTTCTGGTTCTTCATGTGACTTATGTTTTACATTTGCATTTTGGTTTTCACAGTTCTCAGATACAGTAAATCGCACTATATTGAAGTCATAAAGTTTGTTTTCAGTTCCCCAGCCTTTACTTTCTGTACATTTCACCTCTCTTGCTTACTCAAACTTTAGGTAGTCTCTCAAGAAATGCTCTCAGGATAACAGCTGATGACCTCATTTACATTTCAGCTAACAAACAAAAACACTTATGTCAACTTTCCCACTGGAATTTATTTTTTGGCAGTTGAAAGCCCTATTCAAGGAAAGGATATACAAAGGCAATTCTGTAATGTCAGGTACAAATAGGACTTGTGTGAGTTCTGCTTGGAAGGAAGGATGAACCTTTCATTACCCTAATATACACAATATGTGGGAGACTTATGTCCAACTTTGCTTGGAACAGATCTAGACCAGGTCTGCCACTTTGGTAAGTTAGGAATATAGTCCCATTTCATTCTCAAAACTGTCCCAATTTAATCATTGAATTGTATGGTTACTAAGCCATATGAAAGGCCTTGTCCACAGAGAGACCCAGATTTTGCCCATAACAAAGATATTTGGTAAGTGATAATTATGTGTATAAATAGATAGACTAATTGATGTGCCTATGTTTCAAGTTCTTTTAAACTATTTAATAAACCTATAATCATTGATATTGTGTTACAGTAACTTTTTTGTTTTTTAAGAGTTTACTTATCTTTTATTGTCCTAAGTGCTACAAAGAGTAGATTCAATGTGATAGACAGAAAAAGTAGTCAGCATAAATTTTCTGGTAACAAGTCTAATATCTGCTATCTGATTCAAATCTTTGTAGGTGTGATGAGCATAGAGATGATTGCCAAAAATACTGTGTTTGGCTCAAGATCTAAGACCTAAAACTTGCAGGTGTTCCAACAAGACTAAAAATAGTTTCTGCTCCAGAAAAATTGATTTATATCACATTTGTCATTATTTAAAAATGTATTTTTAAAGCACAGTTGGAAACATATAGACCCAATTAATAAAATCCTTGGAGGAGTGGAATGGCTCAGAAGTTCTGTAATGTGATACGCTTTTAAAACACAGGCTGTTAGGTCACTGGTTCTCATTACATTTACAACACAAGTCATGTTTTTGCTAAAAATCTGTGAAACATCTTCCATGTTCCATGCCAGCAGCTGACAATCTCCAAAGGCAGGTTAGACATCAGAATTGGAGTAGAAAGATCATCTTGTTACACACTTTATTTAATTAGGTCAAACATTTTGCAATAGTCTAGAGCATAGTTTCAGGGTATTTCTGTGGTATCTTCTTTCTGAGTTTTTCTCAGTTTTCAGATATTACTCTTTAGAATAAATATAACTAATTAATATAATATATATTTGTAAATTTGATTTTAAAATCAGAAAAAGAAAGGTTTAGTAAATTTTTGTTTAAACTATATGACAAAATGATTACCTGAAATAGCACAATAATTTTATAGAAAATCATACATTGTTAATTAGATTAAGATGACAAAGGTATATATTTTCATTTAGAGCCACATTAGCATTAAGTATACCTCAAATATAATTTCTTAATTATGAAAATAATTAATAGTTTTTTCTATCTGTTGCTGATAACTTATTATAAATATATATAGTCATAGGCAGAAAAATAAAAGCCCTTGAGCCAGACTTAATGATTTATTTCTTAAATATTATTAAGTAATTGAGTATATATTTTTAAATGGAACATTTTACATAAATATATAAGTTTTTAGTATTTTAAAAATCTGGGTTCCTCTTTAGATATGATGTGCTTTCTTCAATTTAAAATAATCCTTTACACTTCTCATCATTCTTACTTTGATCTTTTTCATTTTTGCAGGGTTTATCTGCCTATGCCGGATAGGCTAAGCTGGTATTCCGCATAGTATTTTTTTTCCCTATACTGGCTGAAAAACTTTGTAAAAATTGCTTTCCCACACTTTCTTGAAATTAGAGAGACTAGAAAACTTAAAATCTACTTTTCCAAGTTCCTTAGAACTCAATTTCTAGATGTGACTTCGGTACTAGCAATTGCCAAACTCAGTTGAGATTTAGAAGACAGAGAAGTGTTTCTGTTTTGAACAGTATCCTGGAGATGTGCATGTTTATTAACAGTTACATTGGTGGACACAGCATTGCAGTGACTAGTAACCTGCTGTTAAGAGAAAGATGTACTAACATAGGTTTTAGCAACTGAAGCTTCCTGAGCTCTGAAACGACAATTGCAATAGCAATCCCTTGATCTATCAGCTCCAATCATTCTGCAACAGAGTAAGACAGAAAATAATTCCCGGCAGTCAGTCTTTTCTAACTTGAAATAACTGGAAAGGTTTCTATTTTCTTTTCTGATACTGTTCTTTTAGCAATCTATATTGAAAGAGGAAGTCACTTTAACTGGTCATTATTTTGAAAGAATTACTAGAATCACCCCTCTTAGTTATACAGATATAAATTAAACTGGCACTTATTATCACATAAGAAAGATGTAAGAGAATATTTAGGTAATTAAGACTTTTCCAATACCCAATATTAGGCAAACACAAATGCTCTTGGGTTGTAGGTTAAATATTTGAATGATCAAATATATTTGAAGGAGAGAATATCAAGGCTTTATCCTTCTTCCTTTTTATTTTCATAAACAGCAAAACTCTGTAATGGTCCATATGTTCCCAACTGATATATGCTTGTAAGAAAGGATGTCAAGGGACACCCTCACCCAGAGAAAGGGAAACTTACTGAGATAGAATAAAAAGTCTGGAATTAGGATTTAACTTGTCAATAGGAAGGCTCATTCTGAAACAAAGTGGTTGACATTGGATACCTGTACCCCAAATCCAAAATAGTCGCTCTAACATGGCCTGCATGTTTTGAGAACAATGACTAAGGATATAGGGGTAAATTGAGCAGTAGGAGATTCCACTTCAACCTCTGAAGGTATTTGACTACAAAGGTTTTTATTTTTTGGCCAGTTCCATGAAGAGAGAAAGAGAGTTACTAATTTTCTGCTCATCTAGCTAGTTGTTATTGGAGCCAGTTTTCCTATGACAATATTTAAACCTAAAGCTGTTGGAGAAATTCCTACTGGTTCCCTTATGCCTTTACCTGGAGAACTGGAATAGTTATTCTCTCTCAAATCTTCTCCTTCAAGCTCTTGTCCCTCAGTGATTTACAAGATTCAGTTAAATACTTATACTGCTAGCAGCCTAGTTTCAGTCTGTGTGACTTATCTCAAACCATAGTAGGAGCCTCATATTGGTCTGCTACCGGCAGTTTCTCCTCAGTACCACATACCTCTGGCAGATTAATCATCACACTGCTCACAAACATCAGAGAGTTTCTGTCATCTTAGAACATGAACTCTGTCACTCTTTGAATGTTGGATGTATGTGTTTATGAATAAAACATATGCAACTTAAAATGTGTATGTCAAAAGCAATTTCCCCAAAAGAATTATTGATAAAAGAATCCACTTCATTTCCAGTATAGCGGAAGAAGTAACCAGTGATTTGTCTCTATAGTGACATTAATAGAAGCTGAAGCAAAAAGCTCTTCACTCTACAAAGGGAAAAATTTATTATCATATGTGGTATACTCAGGAGATAAAAAGCTGCTGCCCGCTAGTCCCATAGAAGGAAGGTCATCAAGCCAACCACTGTCTAGTTCCACAAGCCCTGAGAAAGGTCAGTATTCCAAGTGAAGATCTTTTTTGTGTGTGATTTCCAGATATCTATGCTTATAATAACCAAGGGGTTTCCCTGACATAAAAGACAACATCATACATGGCAAACAGACCAAAATTACAATTGTAGTAGAGATGCACATAGAACATCAAAAATGCAATAAAAATGTGGGGAACTCTGTGGGTAAACAGATTTAATTTCCTGCTTCCATTAGGGACTTACTACGATGTTTGTTGATGTTAGGGTGCATGATGGCATTGTATGGTGGCATTTCTGACAAATTGTGGCACAAGTTATTCTGATAAGTTATGTTTCTATGTTGACTCGAGTTTTAAATAATAAACACACAACAAGGCACACTGACATAGACCAAAATTTCACATCTAATTTTATATATGAGAATTCAAAAGCCTCTCTAATTTCTTTCTTCCTACTCTTTATCCTCAAAGTCTACAAGCTGTTTTCTATATAGTCGATACATAGAACTGCCTCAGTACATTTGGTCATGATCATACTGAAACATCAAATCCACATGTATGAGTTCAATCTGTAGACATAATCACCTACTATATGCCATTATGTGATTCTTTAGAGGCACGATAAATACAAACTTCCTCTATTATCAAAAAGTTTACATTCTAAGTAGGAGAAGAGAGAGAAATGTAAGCATACAATTGCAACACAATATAACACATGCATAATTATACAAAGGCAAACCAGGCAAAGAAATACAGATGGCGTTATGATTAAATTGTTGAGGCAAGTCAGCAAAAATGGCAGACAATATTCTATGTGCTAATTTATTGTATTTCTTGCAGTTGGTTTGAGACTATATTACTATGTCTGACTTTTGATTATGTATCACAAGACAGATTCCCCCTCTCTCCTTTTTTTCCTTTGGTAATAGTCTTATGGAGGCTGGAGAGCCACAGTACAGAGGTAGCCTGGAACTCTGAGCTGGCTTGAAGGAGAGGTTTTGGCGAGAATATAAATTCAACGTTGTCTTGTTAAGCCCCTGAGGTTTTGGTGTTTCTGTAGTAGCAGCTACCATTTACTACCTTGGCTATGTCAGAAATAGTTTAGATGTTAAACTTAAGTATTACAGCTTATTTCTGGATATATAAAAAATTTAAATTTTAACAAGTGAATCATAGACTATCGAACCACATAGTACAGTCATCAAAAATAGTAAACATATATATGAAGGCATGTAGTTCTGCAACAATCTCCAGTATTGAATATTGCCAAAGTATAAAATTTGATAGTCATGTATCAACAGGCAGGGCCGTAAAAATGAGCAAGATCCTCATACATCATAAAAAAAAAAAACACTAAAAATCACAAGGTCAAAAATAAGGAGGCCCTGAAGGATTTTTAAAGGGGTTGAGGACCATAACTAGGTTTGTGTTTTTTCAAAAAGGTTAATCTGGTACCAAAATGGAGAATATTATTAAAGTGGTTTAGCAGACAAATAAGTTAAAAATCTGTTACATTTATTCAAGTAGAAAATAAGACCTGAACAAAAGCAGAGACATGGGAAGGAGAAAGAGGTTTTAATCTAATCACTGCTAATAAGGCAAAATTTGAAGTTCTTAGGTAATTGAGTAGAAAAAGGAGAGTTAGGATAAAAGGAAAATCAGAAGTTATTTTCTAATTTCTGGCATCTGTGCATATAAAGGAAACACTAACTGAGAAGTTAGATAGGAGAAAACAAAACTAGAAACAAAATAATGAGTGTATGATGTAATGAGCTTGCTAATAGCCCATAAACAGAAATATCAGCATAATAACTCAAGGAATAAAGGCTAGAAATAAAGAATCCTCACACATCAAGAACATGGTATGCATTCAATATATTTATTTTTCTCTTGTTAAAAAATAAATGTTATATTGGGGGCAGTAAATTTGGAACTTGGCCAACAATTAGAAAATATTATTTGCTAATAACCTAAACAGAAAAAAATATTGATTACAATTCATCAAGATGAAGCATGTGTATGTCATAAGAAGATTTGAGACTTCCAAAGGGTCTTGAAGAAGACACAACCATGCCGTTTGACTGCTGTCCAATCACAGCAATTAATTTACTACAGAACTATTACTTACTGCAGAACTATTTCCACACATATCTAAAAATGGACTAGGAAAGAACAGATAATTATTTTCTGAAAAACAAGTAATGAGAGGAAGAATATGAAACTGAGAAAAAAGAGGAAAACACTTATAAAATTGTCCAAAAGTTTTATTGAAAATTTTGCATTGCAGTATTTGAGATGATTGACAGAAGGAAAAAAAAAATGAAAACTTACTGAAAAAAAGAGGAATTGGCCTGATGAAATGGCATTTCCCTGACTCACACATATGATGCCCTGCAAATGATGTACTTTAGTCTGCTATATGCCAGCTGAGTAGATGCTTCCTGGTGGCCATTTCACTATTTAGAAGGCTTTAATTGTCAAAGTGGTGTTCGGATCTCATTGTTATTAAAGGTTTTTCCTAACAGTGTTCCCATAGCACTGCTGTCAAAAATATAATCACCAAGTTTAAATAATCAGTGTGGCATTTTACAAATGAATAAAAGCCAAGAAACTCAAAGTTCAGAAAACTTACCCTAAACTAATATTTTTAATTGTCTCAACTTTTTAAAACTGAAAAACAAGACCATGTTACTAGTAAGATTTTCAAAATGGTCTCAGTATAGTTTTATGTAAGTAATTACCTTTAAAAAATGAGTTTTCAGAAAGCTAATAAAAGACATTCATAAGAAAAACTTAAACAAGTCCTGTCGAGTGGTCAAAATCTTGGACCATATATACCTGTCCTTCGTTGCTTTTCTGTTCAAACTTACGAAGTTACTTAAGTTTTCAATTTTCCCATCTGCAAAAAGATGATAAAAACTCATTTACCCCAGGATTCTGATAGAAATCAGTTAATAAATTAGAAAAAGTTACTCTGAAAATTTTAAAAGCACTTCATAAAATCCAATGATCAGTTATGCTTTCAGAACTTTCCTATTTTTTCTCAAGGGCACTTGCACTAAATTAAATGTATAGTATGTATAATTAAACTGTTATGTTTCTTCTTATGTACAACCAGATGTTTAAGCAAATGTTTAGAACTAAGGAAGCAAGAGATTTTTACTAACATGTATTCTTCCAGACAAAAAAAAAAATACAATTCAGCAAAAAAGTAGCTATGAAAAATGAAAAATATACTATACAGTATCTGTATTGAGAAAATATCTGTGCATAACAAAAACAATAATGATGAATTTACTAATTCTAAAACACATTAAAGTTAAAAAATAACATAAGTCTCTGGAATTGTGATGCATTTTATTATTTCTGGGATTTCACAGTTTATTGATAGTTTCTGTTTTTCATTGTATAGGAAAAAATAAATGATGTGTCTTAGATTAGACAAAAATATGCACAGTGTATTTGAATAGCACTGTGCCTTCTTTAAGAATTTAAACTGGGGGCCAGGCATGGTGGCTCATGCCTGTAATCCCAATAGTTTGGGAAGCCGAGGTGGGCGGATCATGAGGTCAGGAGTTTGAGACCATCCTGGCCAACATAGTGAAATCCCGTCTTTACTGAAAATACAAAAAATTAGCCAGGCATGGTGGCAGGCGCCTATAATGCCAGCTACTCAGAAAGCTGGGACAGGAGAATAGCTTGAACAGGGAGGCAGAGGATGCAGGATGCAATGAGCCAAGATCGCGTCATTGTACTCTAGCCTGAGCGACAGTGAGAGACTCAGTCTCAAAAAAAAAAAAAAAAAAAAAAAAGAATTTAAACTGAAATCCTACTCAATCAGCAAAATGAATATTTTTTTCTACATTTTATGAATATAAAAATCCAAGACCAGGATTATAAATCATGCTGCTATAAAGACACATGCACATGTATGTTTATGGCGGCACTATTCACAATAGCAAAGACTTGGAACCAACCCAAATGTCCATCAATGATAGACTGGATTAAGAAAATGTGGCACATATACACCATGGAATACTATGCAGCCATAAAAAAGGATGAGTTCATGTCCTTTGTAGGGACATGGATGAAGCTGGAAACCACCATTCTGAGCAAACTATTGCAAGGACAGAAAACCAAACACCGCATGTTCTCACTCATAGGTGGGAATTGAACAATGAAAACACTTGGACACAAGATGGGGAGCATCACACACCGGGGCCTGTCATGGGGTGGGGGAGTGGGGAGGGATAGCATTAGGAGATATACCTAATGTAAATGACGAGTTAATGGGTGCATCACACCAACATGGCACATGTATACATATGTAACAAACCTGCACGTTGTGCACATGTACCCTAGAACTTAAAGCATAAAAAAAAACCAAGACCAGACTACAGTAAGATCAACTGTATGTTACTTCATGCCTCCAAAAAGAGATGCAAAAGGAAATTATACATCAAAAAATGTAATGAGCAAGGTTTGAGAGATCCTTCAAATCTTGATAATGATGTGACTCCTGTGAGTCATAGGGAGAGAGAGAAATAAGAATAATTGTATTAAGCTAGTTTATTAGTACATCCACGATGTGCATATCATGAGATTAAGTCTCCAATGGAGGATTTCCACATCTCGCTGTAGTGGGCCTGCCTTATTTAGTACCTGACATGCTAGGCAATTGACTGAAAGTCACAGTGGGGATATGTAGTTGTGGCATGACTATGGTGGGGTATCCAAAGGGGAAGGGAATGGAACCTTTGGTTAATTATGCATCTTACAGCTGGATATATGATCTGCGTGTTTTCGTGGTAACCACACAAGATTTAGGTCATACAGCTTATAAGCAGTGGAATTGTTTCCTTTCTATGATGAAGACTTTTTTATTTTTTGTCATAAATAGGAAAGAAATACATACTATTAGTAAATTAAACTATATTTTTATATCACATGTGAGTTTTTATTGCATACATATTAAAAGTTTAACAATATAGAAAACCCAGTAGTTCAGTCCTATAGAAACCCAACATAAAAAAATTGCGTATGCAAATTTTTTCACCCTCAGGTAGTTAGTTGAGTATCCGTGACCTACAAATGTCTCACCTGTTAGTTAACAGCATTGTGAAATGGAATGAACTCCAACTGAGGATTCAGGAAACCTAGTATTTGTCATTTTTCTGGCTTTAAACATTCTCTTCTCCCTCTCTTTCCCTACCATGACCTTTGGCAAATTATTTAACCTCCTCCTAACCCAAATTCCCTATAAATAAAATAAAGGTGTTTGAAGGACTTAGCCAAGATCAACCAATTGAATAATGAATTTAGAGGTAATTCTATGTCAACATTAACAGTACTAGTAAAATACTGAATTCTGCAGAAGCTGGAAAAAAAAAACCCTACGTATTGAGTACAATGTACACTACTTGGGTGATGGGTTCACTAAAATCTCAGATTTCGCCACTATACAATTCATCCATGTAACCACAAACCACTTGTACTTCAGAAGCTATTGAAATAAAAAGAAAGAAAAAACAAAAAATAAATGAAGAATTGGGACAAGCTTAAGGAAACACACCAAGCTGATTCTATCACTTTCAATCCAAGCCAGATCTGTGGTTTCTAAAGCAAACTTCAGTTATATTGTTAGTAAGGACTCATCCACTGTGGCATTACCTATGAATAATACTGAATTTGTGTGAACTGTTAGGTTTCAAAAAGGGAAATATGCCTCTAATCTGTGATTTAAATATATATATTTGTATAAAATGTGAAATAATAGACATTGGTTCAAAGAGCATAGCTTCTTATGATTTCAAGATGGAATTTTGGAAAAATCCATCAACTTTTTTAAGGTAGCTATTGACTAAAGCCATGCTGTTTCTTTTTTGACTCATTAATATGATGAGCAATACATTCCTTCTACAATTAATTTGTTGAGAGATTTTAACATAAAATAATATCGAATTTAGTTAAATGCTTTATCTGTATCCATTGAGAAGATCATACAATTTATATTTTTAATTCTGTTTATAGGTTGTATCATATTGATTGATTTGCATAGGTTGAACTATTCTTACACCCCAGGAATAAATCCCATTTGATCATGGTGCATGATCCTTTTAATGAACTCTTAAATTCAGTTTGCTGGTACTTAATCTTAAGATTTTTACATCTCTGTTCATCAGAGATATTGGTCTGTAATTTGTTTTTCTTTAGTGTCCTTGTCTGGTTTTGATATCAGGGTAATGCTGCCCTTATAAAATAAATTTGGAAATGTTACAACCTGTTCAATTTTCTAGAAGAGTTAGAAAATAAATATCAATAATTCTTTAAACATTTGGTAGAATTCAACAGTGAAGCCTTCTGGTCCTGTGCTTTTCTTTGCTGGAAAATTTTTGATTACCAATTCAATCTTCTTACTTGTTATTGGTCTGTTTGGATTTTCAATTTCTTCATGACAGTCTTGTTATAGGAAAGGGGTCCTGATCTAGACCCCAAGAGAGGGTTCTTGGATCTCATGCAAGAAAAAATTCAGGGTGAGTTCAAAGTGCAAAGCAAAAGCAAGTTTATTAGGAAAGTAAAGTAGTCAAAGTACAGCTAATCCACACAGAGTGGGACGTTTCCAAAAGTAAAAGGAGGAATGTGTCCACCATACAATATTCGTTTATGTAGGATAAAAAAAAAAAAACAATCATGGGGAGATATGCTCTGCTACAGGGATTTGTGATAAAGGATTAATTTACTTAATCACTATATTTTGCAAGAATCAATATTATCTTTAAAGCAAAATTAGGAATACTTCTGTTCTCAAGATATCGGATATAAGGACACTCCCAAGTCTGGGTCTGTTTAGTAAACACTATCAATCTGTTCCCTTAACTGTAAACATCTAGAGGCTAGGAATACCTAACTTTCTGGGAAAGCAGCCCAGGAAGTCCCAGCATCATTTTCCTAACCCTCACTCAAGATGGAGTCACTCTGGCTGGAACACCTCTGACACTCTTGGTAACATCTATTCCTGTTTTTCAAATCATTTTTTATGAGATAAATATGTATTAAGTCAAGACCTTTGAAAACTGAGTTTAAACAATCTTATAATTAAGTTCTGTTTCCAAATGTGCTTTTATTAGGATTTTGTAAGAGGCAGTGTCAGAGGTTAGCACAGATTTCATTTTTCAATGAAAGTCTTCATTTTCATTTTTCATGTAGAAAATACTGAGTTGTTTCCTGTTTCTATTTTTTAAAATAAACATTATATTTGTTATCAAAGTAATTTTTGTAATCATAAAATGAACAACCGGAAAGCAAAACACAACAATGAGATTTAAGAAGGGATCAGATAATTGTAGCAACAATGTCTTTTTAAATTATGCATCCTAGACATCAAACATCTGGAATTACCAGAAATTAAGTTCACATTTTCCCTTCTCCAATCTGTGAAATGCATGTATTCACAGGCTACAGAGCTCTTTATATACTTCATTTCTTTTGCTTCAAAGGCAGTTATTTTTAAAGTTATTTTGAAGTGAATTATTTTATAAGTGTGGATTATTTTAAATGTTATTTAGTAAGTGTGTTACTTAAAAAGTGGATTGTTATTTAAAAATGTAACTTTCAGCTTATAACATCCATAAACATTTATAGACATCATATCCATAAAAACATTAATAGATAGAAAATACTAATTTAAATTCCGCTTCATTTAAAACAAAGTCTCATGTGTGTTTATGTTGATTTAATAATGGACCTAACATAAGCATTAATAATAATAAGTAACAGTACTAATTATGAATACATCTAGTTTTATCATACGATGCTCAAAAAGGTGTTTATAGTTATAAGAATGCATATGATGCAATAAGTCAATAAGTGAATTGATAATATAAAAAAGGAAATAAAAAATAAAATAAAAATAAATGAAGTAAATAAATAAAATAAAATAAAAAATTAAAAGGAAATAAATTGAAGACAGAGATTAATTCAGTTATTTTAAAAATACAAAAATCAGCCTCACTAGAGAAGTTAATATTATTTAATGTCATAACTGTTTGGAGGTAAATCAAACTAATATGGTGCTAAGTGGTATTTATATCTCTACTGCCTCAATATGGAGCATGGTTAGACTTTAAACAGAGATTGACTAAACTGGGTAAAGTACACTGGTAGAGGATCTGGGTTCAGAAATAAAATAAAGCCAGACAAAGCATATAATCATGGCTATCATTCAAAAGTTAGAAAGCAGTTCCTAACAAAAGAGAGAGTTCTTTATTTAGGTTCCACAAATAACTCAAGTAAGTATCTGGAGAAGCTAAACTAATCAAATATGAAAGCTAACATGTTGATCTTGATCTCTGAATTGAGGCAGACATAGCCTTTAAATGGGCCTTTCAGCCTAGCAGATGTGCTATTTTTAAGGCAGTTTTTTTCACTTTTTTATACCTATAAAGAAGGAATAATAGTATTTTCTGTATTTTGAAGCTGTTGTATTATATAAAATAATGCATCTGAAAGCCAATAACATCTTATTTCTTAAACTATTAATAATTTACTTGGAAATATTTGGTGTTAAAAAGTTCAATCCTCATGTATCCAAAATGAGATTCACAAATATTAAAGTTATGGCTAGCATATTCTGCGGGCTTGGGTTAGATTGAGCCTCAGGCTGAAATAAAGAGGGCTCCAGTTGAAATAAAGAAAAGCATTTCACAGACCACACTTAATCTCTTATTATAAAATAAACAACTTTTCTGGAGTAACTGTCCACAATAGTTAGTCTCTACTGACTTCATAATTAACAGAAAATATTGAGGGGTCCCACATACCACCAGAATACTCACATGATTCCATCAATAATTTTAGTGGGACAGAAAAACGGTAAATGATGCTTTTGGAGTCAGGCTTGAATATTTACGATGTCAGAGCTAGGGAGTATAATCTTTCTATTGAGTTTCTGCTACTGATTCTTAAGATATCCACTGTACTTCATTTCTCTGCAAAGTTGAGAAACAGTCTTGCCAGAAGGGACCCTCCCTTACATTTATCTTCTGACTTCTATCCATCATTTGTTTTTGTTTTTTACTCAAAATGTACTGATTGTACATGCCATAACCTTAAGACATAAATCCCTTCCTACAAGGGCAAGGATTTAGTTCTGGTTCAGAAACTCAAGTCTGTTAATTGTACATTGAATAATTTGTGTTCTGGAAAAAGTTAACCAATGAGCCTCTAGGTATCCTTGTGGTAAATTTTTTGGAAACATTCAGAAAAACATAGAATATGTATAAAGGAGCATCAACAGGGAAGGTTCAGAAAGGCTCTGAGTTTGCATTCAGGCTCTGACATTAATTACCTGTGTGACACGAACAAGTTATTGAACCTCTCAATGTCAATATTCTAATTTGAAAGCAAGAATCATAATTTAATCTACTGCAAAGGACTATCCGCAGACTAAATATAAATAAAATTATTAAAATAGATTATATTGTAGTAAGCAATTTTAAAATACTTGCTCTTATTGTTGTTTTGTTTTGTTTTGCCATGCTACCTCCTCACTTTAAGGATTTAAAAATCCTAAACATTGAAAATGAGTTTTAAGATAAAAGGTTAGAAATCAATGAGATAAGGTTTATAATAGGAGAAGAAGAAACATAAGAATAAAAAATAAGAAAATAAGATGAAAAAGAAGATAAAAAAATAAAATATAAAAATGCAGGGAATTATTTTGAGAATAAAATTAAATAATTTTAGAAGCTTATGGATAATTCACTTAACTATAAATTTTTTCTAATTTCTTTGCATTCAATAGTGAGCTGAGGAATCAAACACATACGCTAGGCATATTCCATTGTACACTTTATTGTAATGGAATAGTAAGAATTAGTGATATTTACACTAAATAGCAACATATACCATTTTAAATATATCTATATTTGTATCATATTAAATATATTAAAATTATATATGTTAAGTGTGTGTATATATATAATTATATAACATTATAACCATGCACAAAACATTCCTATTCCTAGACTTATAATCACCCCCTGATGAAAGCATGTTTCCTAATTCTCTAGTAGTCAGAATTATTTCCCTTGTAGGTATATACATATTGCATCACCATTCTTTATCTTTTGTCCCTTTCTACTTTAACTTCAAATGCCCAAGCATCTCTTTATGTTTAATAAGCATATGATTCAATGACCTCATCTATTAAATTGAGACCACTTTGTCATGGCTTAATAAAATATGAGTAAAATGTATAGCAAAGAGCTTTCTAAATATGAGATTATAAATAACAAATAGGGTCTATTCAGAGAAGACAGTGAGAAAACAGTGTCTTCTAAAATTCCCATATTGTTAAAGTGTTGTCTGATATGCAATGAGGAAAGAGAAAAGAAATATCGTTACTTCTGTTTTTACTCTATTTCATACCAATTTGCTCCATTCCATAAACTTCTAATAATATCTATCTAATTAAACTTAAGGGCATAATTGCAACAACATTAAAGCATATCTAGAAATTCAGTTGCTAGACAATGCTTTTACTTGATTATAACAGATGTCAAATAGTCCAATGGAAAAGAAACTTTGATTGACCTTCTAACTTCATGGAGCTAAAAAACTATCATCATGCTGATATTTCTTTCACTTGAGGGTGTATGTCCCAGATAGGCATGGTCTGAAAACATTGAGGAGAATGAAACTCACCTCAAGGAATAAAGCTCTGTGGATACTGAAACAAACCATTTTTATTGCCAAAGGAAGATAGAAATGAACCATAATATTAGACAGCCTAAAACTGAAAAATGCCCGCTGGCCCATTTTATTCCTTCAGTGCTTCTTTCTGCACTTGAAACATTACTCCCCAAAGAATACTACCAAATGCTTCATCTTCTCCTGTTAAATGATTCAAATGATGGCCTTTCCACAATGGTTTTCATTTTTACAGCATGAAAGCCCGAACATTAGTGTTTTTTAACCACTGACTTTTCTTTTTATTTTGTTTCTATACATCTAAAACCAGGTTAATTCACTTGGGAGTATGCACTGGCCTATAAGTTAGCACTTCTCACACTTTGCATACCACTAGGGCCAGAGTTATTTACCATGAGAGCTGGATTCTATTACCACATTTTTTTTTTTCTGTATCATATCAGAACTTACCCGTGGAGGAGCACATATTCACTCTCAGAATTGCTACTCTGAGGAAACAAAGGTAGTATTTGTCTCTTACTCTTTCCTAATCATCTAGTAATATAGAATTTCCTGATTCTTTTAAATACCAAAGGTATCTAAAACCAGAAAATTACTCATTATAATGACTTGCTAGAAAGTCTGAAACCCTCAGTGTTAATTCTGTCTTTGGATTACAGGAGACAAAAAAATTTCTGTTGAAATTTGTTAGCTGGAAGGATACAAAACTTTAAGGGTTACCACTTATAAAACATTAACACAGATAGAATAGTGTGACTAGCTAACAAAGAGTGGGACCCTGAGGCATTAGGTCAAGGACCAGGTGGAAAGAGTTCTGAAAGAGTGAACATGAAGGAGAATATCAAGAGTTGGAAAGAAATGGAAAACACATTTTCCAAATGGCATACCCTTTATGTAATATTGTGCTTTGTAAAATTTTAAAGGTTTGGACTAAGATGTTGTTTTATATGCATACAAACGCTTACTTGATAATATTTGCATTTAGGGTATTAATAAATGATGATTAAAGAAAATTATGGCCTTCATGTGTGCCTATGGGGAGTATTGATAGGCTTCCCAATAATTACCATCTTTCTGATTAGAGAAGGGAAGTGGAATTTAAAGCAGAACACCAAAGTTTTAATTAAATGTATGAGAGAAAGTTGATATTAATGCACACAAGAGAAAATTACTGAAGCATATCCAATTTGACCAGAAGTCAAGAATTTTCAGCAAAAAGGAAACCTCATAATCATAAGATCTTGTTAATACCAACACACTCATCTTATTCATCTGATAGCTGTAATTTCAAATTTTAATGAGAAGCATCCAAAACCAACATAACTCAAACAATGTTTTCGTGGGGCTATTGAATTGCACCCTACCCTCACAAAGTTTTTGACACATATCCAGGATTTATATCACAAGTACATTAACTATGAAAAGGTATTGTTCAAAGCAAAAGTACTGGAAAAAGAAAAAGGAGAAAGAGTGGTAATGGGATTTGGGAATCAAATGAATTGATTTTTTTCAAATTGGCCTAGCTAGGTATACGGCTATTAATTTTCTCAGTAGTTGTTTCTACATGGCAAACTGTATGTTTCTTTTGATCTAAAAATAAGTAAAGAATTTATTAAGTTCTCTATGATTTTAATAGCACTGTGGGTTTTTAAAATAAATTATCAGGTTGAATGAACAATCCACATTTATTAGAGGCTCTTCATATTATTTCATGGTAAATACTTTACAATGATTATATGCTCTGAGAGAGAGAGAGAGTGGAGTTACTAAATAATACATGATATGACTAATAAATATTATAGCCAGCATTCATTCATTTGTTAAGCAAATTGCCTGCTTCTTTTGTTTCATACACTGAGCCATCAGGAAGGCAGAAAAAAATTAAAATCCTCCTCTTTCAAGGATCTCTCCTTTTAGGTTGTAGGTCAAGTAAAAAAATTGAAGAACTGGGTTAGCACTAAGCACATAGGAAGAAGTACTAAGTAAAGACATGCACACATTCTGGGGCAGGAAATTGCCTAAATCAGTCTTCAGGTATACACCCACAATGCTCTAAAATCTTAGAGCAAATAATCTTTTTTAAAAAAGTCTTTCATCTGTGCTAAAACTCTCTACAGAGCTATTACAGAAGCATGATTATATAGAAAGTTAGAGTTTTAAGCCAAAAATAGTAGGAAAAAAATGTATCATACAACTGTGTCAAGCAGGTAATTAAGTTAAAAACACATTTTCATTATTTTCCTGGATTTGGTAATGTGTATAGTATAAACATCATACTTGGTTGGTAAAACACTACTTTTATTGGTTTATGTGTAACCCTTTTAAAAATTATTTTAGTACATATATGTGTTTGCCTAAATAATATACTCTTTAGTGTTGCTTGCATTTAACTTTTTACTTCATTTGTTTATTTTACTAAAATAATTTTACTGAAATAGAGAACACATCATTTAACTCAAAACTAAAGCAAACTGAAAAAGACAACCACCCAACTCCCTACAAACACCCACACATATAATTGGTAATTCATATCTGCCTATTCCTTCTTTCTCTTCCTTTCTTCCCAGCTCTTCTACTGCAGAGATAACCACTATTCTGAATTGTGTTATTATTGCCGAGTTTTAAAATGAGTTTTATCACTTATACAAATATATGTGAGTAACATATTGTATGGTGTTGCTTTTTCAATCTTGTACATTTCAAAAACAAGACAAAACAAAACTCAGCTATGTTTCCAAGATCAAGTAGGTACTACTTAAGTCATTTTAAAGTGCTCATTGTCTAATTAAGTCTGTTTGAATTGCTTTGGATACCTTCTCTAGCATGTTAAGTGTAAGTTCTTCTCTTTCTAAAACTAGTACAAACACAACAGTTTGTGGGGACACCAAATTGGAGTACCATTAAAAAAACAGAATGCCAATTCATTCGAGAAGAATTTTAATTTCTCTAATTTTTTTCATAATCTATTCTTGCAATTATTCTATTGTTGTAGTTGTCATCTAAAAAGTATGTCAGAATGACCTGGAGGAATTTTCAGGATACAGATATAGTTTTGAGCCCTACAACCAACACCATGTGGGGAAGATGCCTTAGCTTCCTGGACATTGAAAAGATACTAGATGATTCTTAATCACTTCATATGTTTCCATGCCCAAACATGGGATTAAAAAAAAACCACAAACAACTACTAAGGTGGTAAGCTGGTTAAGTTCATCTGAGCATGTCTACCATTTGAGGATCTCCTACTAGGTGAAAGACGATACCTTGAGCCATAGTATAGTATAGTGGTTAGGAGTACAGATGCTGGAATCAAGCTGCCTGGATTCAAATTTTCACTATACAAGCTTGGGCAAATCTCTGATCCTCTCTATGCATCAATTTTATTTATTTAATAGAGTTAATATAATTATTGAATCTTCCTTATGAGCTTACAGAAATTAATAATTAAGTTAAAATGGACAAAAGTGTTTGAAAAGTACCTGGTAACTGGTAGTTGTTATTTTTTATTAGAATTAAGTGCTATCTTTTGTGATGGTTTTGAAGATTTATTAGCTTAGATTATCACAGATGCAAGTTTGATTTTGTTACTTACATGATCTAAATCATAAAATAACCAAGATAAATATAAATTAATTATTATTTATAAATTGAGGCAGATTCAGTTTTGTGAGGCCTGGAGCTTACATAATTTGTGGGATTCTGTTTAAAAATAAAACATTATGAATTGAGTTACTGCATGAAAATGAAAATTTATATAAAATGGGAAACTAAATCACAAAAAATAACATATTATAACAAACTGACATATAGTACGTACATTACAAAAATCCAGAAAAATAATAAAAATGTGTTTTTAACTTAATTATCAGCCAGACACAATCGTAGGATACATTTTGTCCCACTATTTTTGGTGTAAACATCATTACCTTTTTATATAATAGTGTTTTTGTATTAGCTCTGTAGAGAAATAGTTGAAGTTATCTTTTAGCACAGATGAAAGAAATGTTTATAAACGATTATTTAGCTCTAGGATTTTAGGGTTGAGTATATATCTGAAGAGGATAAATTTGTTTTGACCTAAGTGTCAGCCAATGGAAAGACTTTTACAGACATCAATAAGTAGCTTAATACATTTCATGACATAAAACAAGTCTTTCATACTGCACTGCAATATGCTCTTTGGCTTTGTACCTCCCTGCCACAATGCTGAACAAGTTGGCACAGCACTTCTAGAAACCTTTGCTAGGAGGAGACCATGAGCAATAAGTTAACTATGCACAGAAGTGACTACAAATGTAAATAAAAAGATATTGCACTAAACTCCGACAAGATATATCTCAAACATGCCCTTAGGCAGATTCCAAAAATGCCCATGACTACTTCAAAGCCACTTGACATTGAAGTTGGAGTAAAGAGACAATAATCTCAAGTGATTTTTGTTGAAATAACTTACTTTGGTACATTGTATTGAAAATACAAGTACATGAGAATACATTGCTAGGTCCTCTGCAAGGGCCCTGGAAGTTGCTCATGCAAGTAAAAAGGCATGGAGTTTAAATTATAATCTTATACAGGTAAAACAGCTTTAAAAATCGGTACTAATATGGCACTAACTGCTGCAAAACGTAAGATTAGTTGTAAACGTGAGAAAAAATATAAGCTTCCTTAGAAGATAACTAAGCAGACCTTTCTTTCAATTTTACCTGGAGTTTTGGGGGAAAGTATGTTATTTAATAGATAAGAAATATAAATGCTATTTATGTTTTGGTATGTAAAAGTACACTGATATATTCTCAGGTAGAATTACATTTTTTCCAGGATACACATCATAAAAACTTTTATATAAGTCTCATGCTTGTGGTATGTTGCTTTGGTCTGCTCCCTCCAAAATCTAGTGCCATGAATTTATTTTCTTCTTAAAAAGAACCAGTAGGTTATATATTTGAAATATTTATGATGGTTTAAGAATAAAGAAAGGCTTTTCATGTTAAGATTTTTTTTGTGTGTCAATAAAATAGAAATGAGTCCAGTAATATCAATGCAATATTAAATTTAAAAATACACCAAATTATCTTCAAAATATTGCTATAAAAAATTTATATCATTTTGTTTTGAAACACTTCATTCAAGAAACTTCATTTCATACTACTTCTGATTAAATACATTGACTTCAGATTATTGAACATGATTTCAAAAAACAGTGGCACAATAATAATTCATGGTTTGCCCAAGGTAATAAAATTTTGGAAACAAGATTACTATTGTCTCATGCAGAACTGTCTTCTCCCAAAACAATTAGCAATTCTCTCATGCAGAAATGTTCTCCCAAAACGAACTGAACACACTCATTGAACAATACATTTTCCATACATTTCTTTATAAGAAATAAATATATGATTTCAATAATAGTGTCACTAATTTATTTATATATATTTGAAAACTATAAGATTTAAAACTTAGGATAAAGTAAACATAATTATTTTGAGTGCTAGCATTAATTTCAAGTGCTTGATTAACTACTGCTTTTAAAAGCCAGGTGTATGCCATTTTGCATTTTATAAGAGCTAAAAGTATAGAAAAAGCCAGAAGCTATAATTTACTAGCCAATAGGCCAAACACTGTGTATGGTAGTGAGGATTAATTTTCAAAACCCTGCATCATATGATTTTCTGCTATCAGTAAACCCACTGTTTTATCACAGACATGTTGAGTTAGGAAAAATTTTCCCCAAATCATTAACTTTCTTTTTATGCTCTGAACCAAAATCACTTCCAGGAAAAAAAAAAAATGTGCTTAATTGCTGCCTAAGGAAAGTTTTCAATAGCAATTTGGTCTTTTTATAGGATGAAATTGCTTTTGGCATTTCAAAACACTCTTCTCACTTTGAAACCAACATAAAATCTGATTACTGTAATAGGACTACCATGTGCTCTTCTCTATCAAAACCTGATTATGGTAATAGGACTACCATGTGCTCTTCTCCATCTATAAATGCCTGCAGTCTCATGTACTCATGTACTGAAGAACCACCTGGATCACCATCACAAAATGGAGAACAGATGGACAAGAGACGTGCAGCATAAAGAAGACAACTACAGAGAATAAGACACATTATCATTAAAAATCAAGCTAAATTTATTATACATCTTCCTTTACATGATTTAAATTTTAGTATTTTGGAAAGTAAAAGCTTTCAATAAAAATTTCCATAAATACAATCTCCTTCCACTGGAAAGTGTCATTTGACATCATTATTATAGTTTAGCAGTGGAATGGATTATCTCTTGAAGATGTAAAAATCACTTAAAGGAATGCACAAAATGTATGAAATATGTATAAAGCTACTGTATGAAGCAGGCCATCAGTAACTAAGTGGTTATTAAGGGTGCGCGCATTACAGGCCATAGAGTAAGAATGTTAAAGGGAAGTGGCTGTTATAAAACATGGGTTGGTGACAACAGGAAAAGGACAGGGGAAAAGAAATAAAGGACAGTTATTTATTTATGAGATCTCAGCAAAAAATGCCTGAGATCCCAAACTTAATTGGTTGACTCAGGCTTCTAAAGCACATAAGAAGGCTGAGAAAATGGAGAAACAGGCTGCACAAATTAGGTGACTCCTTCTTGAGCTCAGCATTATGTGGAAACATCTAATTGAATAATTCACTTTGTGGGATTACAAATAATTACACAATTTTTATTCACAGTGTCTCATCATGTAATTATAACCACCTTCCTTTAGAGAAATTACATATTTCAATTTCATAAGGTATGAAATGCTATAGTTGTAAACAATATGAAACAAAAATTCTCAGACAGGGCCATCAATTACCTTGATTTTAATGTGTTTGGTGTGTTTACATGGCAAAAAGAATTATTTTTATTTTTAAGTAACCAGGATATGTTTCCAATATCACATCACATCACTGCATATTCTTTCTATAAGCAAATTTTATCATTTTTAGAGAATTACTATTATTATAATGCCATGACATGGCAATAATAATTTGCCTTGTAGATGTTTTTGCTGATACGTTAAACTTCTCAGAAGACATCAGTTTCTCTTTTGAATACTAACCCAAGAACCTGAATTCTACTTTTTAGCCATTTTCCTTATAAGTAAACATGATAAAGCCTTTAAAGCTACACTGTTGAATGCAACAAAAAAATGCTTTATGTAGATACTAACATGCATAATTTTATAAATATTTCATAATGACAATTACAAAAAAGTAACTAAATTTTACAAAGCTGCCCTAAGTGTTTTACACATACAGTCTCAATTCAGCAAAATGCCTCTGTAAGGTAGTACTATTTTAATCCCCTTTTTACACATATGAAAACTGAGCTTGAAGTCAGGTCACACCACTAGGATGTGGGGGAGTCCTGAATTTGAGCTCAGGCAATTAATTTTTAGTAGTGTTGTGCTCTTGGACACCCTATTATTCTGCCTTGCTATGATTTTGTGCATATATTATGTGCCATGAAGCTTTTTACAGTTTTTTTTGTATGTATTAATTCCAACACTCTTTTCTCAACCATATTAAATAGATACCATTATTATACTGATTTTATATATGAGGAAACTGAGGCCCTGAAAGTTGCATAATTTGTCCAATTCTGCCTCTTAGAGAAGAGGAAATATCTAAGACTTCTATAGATAGAAGAAAACTTAGCTGCCTAGCCTACGTGTCTAAGTCTAGATATTTCAAAACTGGATCCATTGCTGGTTGAATGCAGCATTAAAAGGTGAAGACAGATTGTCTGTTTTCTGTATAGGGCTTTCTCAACTTTTATTCAACACAGAACACGTATCAACTAAGCTAAATCCACCACAAAGAATGCTGTTTGCCTCATCATCTTAATTTCCACAATGAAATCTTCTATTTCAATTGCGAGCTACAGTCCAATTGGCTAGAGATGAATTTGAAAAAATAACTGGATTGTTTTATGTATTTACCAGAATTTGGTCCCCCAAAATCTAAAAAAGTATTAGTTTTTTCATATAGTTAAGTAAGGTAATAATGTATGCAATAAAAAATACATATGCTGTTTCCTGCTATTAAGTTTCATTCAACCTTTTTTCACTAAGAATTGGTGAAATCTTTATGCATCTGTTGGATGGGAAGTGTATGGTCTGACTTATTCTCTCTGCCTATTCTTCCTCCATATCTCACATTGCACACACACCCTCTGTTCTACTTTGGAATGCTCATTTCCTTATAACTTTTTTTTATTACTAATTGGATGTAAAGAGATGCTATGATTTGCAATTGTTCAAGTTTTAAACTTTAGATATGGCTTTCATAGAGTGATTAATTAAATATAAATTTTATTTAAAAGGCATTGTTTTCTTCCAATGAATTCAGTAAGAACCTCATTCCAAAATGTCTCTTCATGCAGTGGCATGGTTTTCCATTTGTTTCACTTCCCTGTGCAATCTAGGATCTGTCCTTAGTACGGTTGTACTGGCTTAACTGGGAGATACTGATTTCCAGGTTGCATCAGCTATAAGAGAAAGGCAGCTGACATGAACACCCATAGCACAGTTGGCTAGAATATATAGATTCAGGCAGTACTTAGACAGGGAATGCTATTTTCTTTACAACTGGAGATTTGTAATAAAAATAAATAAATTACTAACTATAAAATGTACCATAAAACATTTTCAACTAATTAAACACTGCCAAATGTAACATAAACATCCATACATATAGATGAGATATTCACTTAATGAGTATGGAACTAATAATTATGTCAATATAACATTCAACCAAAAGCCAACTTTTACTCACATTCTGTTAGCAGTCACTTTAACTGCTAAATATATCCCAAGACTCAGTGTGAAGGACCTGACAGTAGTTAGACCTGGCATTTTATATTTGGTAATCCCAGGATGCACAAGGATTTCATAAATCAAATAATCTTCAGAAAAAGTGTAAAACCCGGTAGAGTTCACTCTACTGCAAAGTTTGTAAAACAAATTTACCATGTGCTCTAAGCAGTCAATTCACATAACTTGTAAACCAAACAAATTATGGAAGCTTTAGTTTTTACAAAATAATCTTACCCTAAGGCCAAATATAGTCTAGATGTAAAAATGTAAAATCATGCGTGTGTGGAAGGTTACTACAAATGATAGTGTTGTGTTGTAAGCCTCTACCATTTTTTTCTATTAACTTTTGTCTTCCCTTTATTTTGCTCAAATTATTCACTGAGGTTGGCTTCAGTTGGGGGTTAAGACAGAAGACCTCTAAGATGGAATTAAAATGGGAGCTATTTCCTTAGTTACAGGAATACAGAATTATTTTATAACAATATTTTAATTATGATGAAATGCCTAGGAAAAAAAATACTCTCATTACTTGATACATGGCCGCTTACCAGTAGTCTCCTCTTCATCTTTACCAATGTCATGTATTCAATTCTAAATAAAATAGACATAAAGATATTTCCTTTGTTTTGATTGCTAGAAGACATGGCCTGGTTTTCTTCTCAATGCCTAGGAATTTTTTTTTTAACATGAGTTTCTTTTTTTCCCCTTCTTTACTCTTTATTATTTGAATTTTTATCCTGTACTATTAATTTAGACCTAGTGAATACATGCATATCTGTGTATATGTGCATGTTTGCACGTGTGTGGAAAGAGAGAGAAAGAAAACTATTTTATTTATTTATTTCATTTATTTATCTATTTTGAGACGGAGTCTCACTCTGTCTCCCAGGCTGGAGTGCAGTGGCGCAATCTCCGCTCACTGCAAGCTCCGCCTACCGGGTTCACGCCATTCTCCTGCCTCAGCCTCCCAAGTAGCTGGGACCACAGCCACCCGCCACCAAGCCTGGCTAATTTTTTATATTTTTAGTAGAGACAGGGTTTCACCGTGTTAGCCAGGATGGTCTCGATCTCCTGACCTCGTGATCTGCCCGCCTCAGCCTCCCAAAGTGCTGGGATTATAGGCGTGAGCCACCGCGACCGGCCAAGAAAACTATTTTAAAAGCTCTTCTGGGAAATCTTGTGCATGCTAGTTTTAAGAGCTGCTGACCTAGATTGCCAATCTAGTATTCTGTTTACTCTACAACGAAATGGTGTGACTCAATTTAGTTACATTTAATAAACATGCTTTGAGTGTCTGCAATAGGTCATGGATTCTGTAATGCTATATGTATATAAGTAAGGGATGGTCTCTGTCGTCCTGGAACTCACATTTAATATTTCATCTTAAATCATTATGTATTATCACATTGACATTTGCAGACTAAGCATTACGTAGTGCATGCTTTCCAACCTCATAAGAAAGCCACCATTGAGAAGAAATCTCTAAACCATTGTTTTATGATCTCATATACAATTCAAGATTTTGAAACAAGTGCTTCAACAGTTTATTTTGACATGTTTTCTATGAATTTCAGATATACAATTCTGTTTTATGCATTTAGTCCCTGTTTATCTTATCTTTATAGCATATGAGGTTTGAGAGGGTGAGATCAGGAAAGTCTTCCCAGTGCCCAGAAGCATCACAACTGGTTTATTTCAAATCCTAGTTCAGAAAAGTGGGTTACAGAAATACTCTTTATTCTTAAAATTTCAGGGCAAATGTTAGTAGAAAACATCATAGCTTCTAATGAATAAAATTGATTTTGATATGCAGACAGCTATGTCAATGATATGTCTGATACAATGTCAAAAAAGATCAAAAAGTTTACACTGCATTTCCCAATCTTACAATTCATAAGAATCCTGGGCAAAGTCCTGGCAAACCATTTACTAATTTATTAATCCATGTAATATTAATTCTGTTAACAAGTTTTTAATTAAAAAGAATCAATAAGCAAGGTAGAAGCATTCAAATTTAGGGCCTGTGTTTTTCAAATGTGAAATTTCAGTTTTGGATGTATTCTGCTCTTTGAATTAAAAATGGCTTTCATACCATATCTTATTCAATGTACTTTATTTACAAGCATGGCATTGTGTCCCTTCATGTGACATTATGAAAAGCAAATTGATTTTTTTTTCCATTTCAAACAATTGCTGAATACCACCATAAGCTTTTGTGAAATTTGAGAGAAATCTCTAACTCACCTCAGACACGACCTGTGTCACAAACAGGCCTCAGGCCTTCTCTGAGCGCATGTGGAGCACAGCCCATCTGGCATTGTTGAGTTGTGGCCTTATTTCTGGCAAAGCAATCATTTGTGGGAGCCAAGAATAAGAGAATTAAAAGGAACTGCCCATATATCAGACTAAAGGAAAGTGATGAGTGTATGAAATCTCCCAGTGGGTAGAGAATCAATCTTAAATTATTTTGGCTGCCTTTGCAAACAGATAGAATTCCCTTTCTCTACTTTGTTCTCATTGAGATCTTCAATTTTTACATGGGAGAGCAGCTTCAGTTATATATCCAACTCATTTGAGAAAACATATTTGAACCACAGGCCTTTTATGAAAGTGCAATTTATCTCATGAACATTCTTTTGAAATTTTTAGATACTTAAATAGTGCCAAATTCAATTTATTTTTTAATTCACTCAGTAATTAATTTTATAATGAATCTATACTGTCAAGCATGAAAAGAAGGGCCGTAGTAAACTGTTTACTGTGGGTGGAACTTGTTGGAAAAATAGTTACATCACTAGTAGTAATAAAAAAGGTAGTAATATAATCATAATATAGTAATTAAGTAATATAATCATAAACAGCTAATATGTATTACCTGTGGCAGCAATTTTAAAGTATATTTTACTAGGATCATTATGTAATTGTTAAAACAATCTTATGGGTAAGTATATGGGCTATCATTAGCCTCGGTTTGTTAATTGAAGACATTGAGGTTCAGGCAAGTTACAGACCTTGAGTAATCTGACAGAGCTAGGAAATAAATGCTTGGGAAGTAAGAGAAACTGTATTACTCCACTTTTATTGTTATAAAAATACATGAGACTGAGTAATTTATTTAAAAAAAGGATTTATTTTGGCTCATGGTTCTGCAGCCTATACAAGAAGCATGGTGCTGGCAGTTGCTTCTGGTGAGGACCTCAGGAAGCTCAGTGGAAGGTGATGGGGAGCCAGCACATCATATGACAAGAGTGGGGAAAGAGTAGTGGGGAGGCACCACACACTTTTAAAGAACCATATCTTGTGTGAACTCAGAGCCAGGATTTGCTCATTAGCAAGGGGATGATGATAAGTCATTCATGAGAAATCTGCCCCCATGAGCCAAACATGTCCCACCAGGCCCCACCTCCAACAATGAAGATTACATTTCAACATGAGACTTGCAGGGCATAAGCATCCAAACCATATCATTCTGCTACTGCCCACCCCCCACAAATTTCATGTCCTTCTGACATTGTAAATAACAATCATACTTTCTCAATAGTTTCCTAAAAGTCTTAACTTTTTCCAACATTAACTCAAAAGTCCCAAGTCCATAGTTTCATCTAGTGATGAGTTCCTTCCACTTATAAACCTGTGAGATCAAAAACAAGTTATATACTTCCAAGATACAATGGTGGTACAGTCATTGGGCATACATTTCCATTCTAAAAGGGAGAAATCACCCAAAAAGGACACTAGGCCTCACACAAATCTGAAACCAAGCAGAGCAGTCATTAAGTGTTAAAGCTACAAAGCAATCTTCTTTGACTTCACGTCCCATACCCAGGGCACACTGGTACAAGAGGTAAGCTTCCACAGCTTTAGGCAGCTCTGCCCCTGTGACTTTGCTGTGTACAGCATCTGTGACTGCTCTCAGTTGGTGTTGGGTGCCTGCAGCTTTTCAAGCCTCAGGATGCAAGGTGCCCATGGCTCTACAATTCTGGGGTTAGAGGGCAATGGCACTCTTTCCACAGATCCACTAGGCAATGCCCTGTTGGGGACTCTGTGTGGGGCCTCCAATCCTACATTTCCCTTCTACACTACTCTAGTAGATGTTCGTTGTGAGGGCTCCAACCCTGCAACAGGCTTCTGCCTGGGCACCCAGGCGTTCTTATGCATCCTCTGAAATCCAGAAAGAAGCTGCCAAGCCTCCTTCACTCTTGCATTGTGCGCACCTGCAGAAAACACCAGGTGGAAGCTACCCAGGCTTATGGCTTGCACCCTGTAGAGTAGCAGCTTAAGCATTACCCAGAGCCCTTCTAAACATGGTTGGAGCTTTTCCCCATTGTTTTGCATATTAACACTTCACTCCCTTTCAGTCATGTTAATCTCTCTAGCAAGTAACTGCTTGCTCTAAAGCCTGCTTGTATTCCCTCCTGAAAATTTTTTCTTCTCTGCCACATGCATAGATTGCAAATTTTTCAAACTTTTATGCTGTGCTTCCCTTTTAAATACACGTTTCAACTTTAAATTATTTCTTTGTTTCCACCTCTATTCATAGGCAGTTAGAAGCAGCCAAGCCACAACATCTTGAATGCTTAGCTGCTTTAAGATTTCTTCTGCCAGATACCCTACGTCATCGTTCTTACGTTCAAAATTCCACAGATCCTAAGGGCATGAACACAATGCAGTTGAGTTCTTTTCTTGGATGTAACATGGGTGATGGATAAGCTTTACTTCAGTTCCCAAAAAGTTCCTTATTTCCATCTGAGACTCATTAGTGTGGTCATCATTGTCCATATTTGTATCAGCATTTTGAGCACAGCCATTTAACAGGTCTCTAAGAAATTCCATACTTTCCCCCTTCCTCCTGTCTTCTTCTGAGCCCTCCAAAGTTGTCCAACCTTTGCACATTACCCACCCCCAAAGTCACTTCCACATTTTCAGGTGTCTTTGTAGCAATGCCTCACTCCTTGGTGTCAATTTTCTGTGTTAGTTTGCTTTTGTGTTGCCATTTAAAAAAATACCCAGGCTGGGTAACTTATAAAGAAAAGAGGTTTAATTGACTCATGTTTCTCCAGGCTTTGCAGGAAGCATGATGCCAGCATCTGCTTCTGGCAAGGTCTCAGGAAGCTTGCAATCATGCTGGAAGGCAGCAGGGAGCCAGGATGTTACATGATGAGCATGATAGCAGGAGAGAAGTGGGGGAGGTGCCACATACTTTTAAACAAACAGATGTCATGTGAACTTAGAGTCAGAACTCACTCATCACCAAGGGGATGGTTCTATGCCATTCATTCACAAGGGACCTGCACCTGTCATCCAAATGCCTCCAACCACACACTATCTCCAACACTGGAGATTACACTACAACATGAAATTTGGAAGCAACAAATATCCAAACCTTATCAGAGACACATTATACTAAACATCTATGCACATTATCAGAATTAATCCACATACAAACCCTCAGAGAATGATTTTGTACCCATTTTTTTTAGGTTCACATCATTATCAAGTTAAATATCTTTCCCAGTACTACACGCTATGGGATTCTGACTTAAATCTGGGTTCACTCCAAGGACCACACTCCCTCCACTAAGCTTTAATCAGTTATATTTCTCAGAAGGAGGAGCAGGAGGATTAGAAGGAGGAGCAAGGGATAGAAGGAAGCTACTTAGTTAGAAGGGATTAAAACACTTTTAGATGCGCTTTATACCACACACCGTGTGCTTTACAATGCTTTGATAAAACCATAATTTTACCATCAAGTTTATAGAAATTTGATGATCATTTTTCTTGTTTTTATCTAATCAGTCTCTGTAATTTTTCATTCATTTTTAAACTAATAATGAAGCATTTCAATGTCAGTCTGATACTCATTTCATCCCTAAGGAGTAATCTGCAGGATTATTCCACAATGGGAAAAAGCCATATTCACAAAATACTTTTATTCACATATTCCCTTATATTCACATTGAAGGTCATTTTGCCCTCTAATGAAGACCACACCTATTTAGTAGAAAGTCATACTGAAAAGAATACTGTTGAGTCAAACAACTAGAAAAAGAATAAGTAAAAATGAACATAATACTAATTATCTCTGTATCACTAGCCAAACCTTGACTACTAGCTTGAGAATGAAATGTGCACTGATTTTACACTCACTTTATGCCACATTTATGGATAGCTATTAAAAAACATGAAGTATAAAAATGTGATCTTTAATTACAAATATTTGAGCAGTTGTTTTGTAATCAGAATTATAAAAATATGTTTTAATTAATAAAATTGGTTTTCAACATGTTTAGAAAAATGAATGGCTACTTAATTTTATTACTCACATAAAATATGCCAAAATCCTTCAGTGTACAAAATGGACCTAAGAAAGAATCTTTCTCACTGGCCTTCTGTACTATTTTAATCCATTGCTATTAGTTCATTTCAGTTGCACTGCTGGTTTGCCTCCTTCAACCAATGATTTATTCACTTCCAGGTAGCAGAGTGACATATAGTACATAAAAACAAAACTCTTAAAGTGCTAAAATTTAAATCACAAGTCTACTTTCTCAAAGTCAGATGCTCCACCTATAAATGGGGAACTTGGCAGAATCAGATTGTAAAGTTTTAAGGATAGTCACAAAATTAGTTGAGACCTATCTTTCTTAAAAAGGAAGTTTAATTACATTACATTTCACTGTTTGATTTTTTTTTTTTTTTTTTGACTGTTAGTTCTTAGAGACTAGAGAGTATAGATTACATATTGTTACCTGGGGGTCCTTGCTCTGAGAGCTCCCAAGATGGTGGCAGGCCACTTCCAAAATGGCGGCAGGCCACTTCCAAGATGGTGGCAAGCCTCGTGTTCTCTGACCTGGGGTTCTTGGCCTCACGGATTCCAAGGAATGGAATCTTGGGCCCTGTGGTGAGTGTTATAGCTCTATTACAAGCCGTGGGTCACAGAAGAGAACCATGGAACCCAGTGACTAGTGTTCAGCTCCATTAGGACGAACCCAGGCACTTAGCAGTGCAGGAACAATGGCAAGCCTTTAGCCTGATCAGGAGTGGCAATGGGCACCTGGCTGGATCAGGAGCACAGCAGACACCCTGCTGGATCTGGAGGGATGGAAGTCAGCTGCGGGTCTGCGATGGCGGCAAACAGCAGTGGTGGATGGCGAGCTCAGCTCAGCTTGATCTGTAACAAACACGGACCAGAAGAGTGCAGTTGCAAGATTTAATAGAGTGAAAACAGAGCTCCCACACAAAGGGAGGGGACCCAAAGAAGGTAGCCTTTGCCAGCTCGAATGCTTGGGTTATATCCCGATCATTATCCCTCCTGCTGTGCTCTCAGGCAACAGATGATTGGCTATTTCTTTACTTCCTGTTTTTGCCTAATTAACATTTTAGTGAGCTCTCTTTCCTAGATGATTGGTCAGGTGTGAGCTAAGTTGCAAGCCCGGTGTTTAAAGGTGGAAGCGGTCACCTTCCCAGCTAGGCTTAGGGATTCTTTGTCGGCCGAGGAAATCTAGCTAGTCCTGTCTCTCAATATGATCAATTTCAAATTTGGGGCACATGTCAGTATCTTAAAATGAGCCCAATTCATTTACACATCAATTTATTTCATATTCTTCACATTCACATTTTTTGTTAAAGTAATGAAACCTTAGCCTTACAGGAATTACTACATAGATGCCTAAATACACATTGATGTTTCTAAAATGTCAATAACTTTCAGATGGGACAGATTAACCTCAAAGTCTGGGCTTGTGCATTTAAATCTCCCAAGGAGCAATGGGTCAAGAGAATGCAATTTACTCTAACAAAAATTTATTTAAAACAGTCCTTTTTCTTCCAAAGCTTTGGAGATTCCCAAACATCTGGATTCACAACACTCTTAATGTCTTAGTAACTTTTCTTTGCATACACTCTTGGCCAAAAGCAGTATCTAACAGTTCCATCTAGTTAGTAGTTAAATCCAAACAACTTAATAAATGTTTATGTTCTAACAGTTTAGTAGGCTTTTGGAAAAAATACCCATAAATCCAAAGAACGAAATTATATTTTTAGTTCATTCTTAAGTAACCACAGTACCTTACAAATTAGATGCATGCACCTGTTTGGCACTGCACAATGCCCCAAGACCTTAAGTCACATCAGGCACTCTCATGCTCATTTCCTTTTCTACATTGATTTCCACATGGCATTTGTTTTTTGTCATGTAATGAAAGAAACACATCTTAGGAAGGTATGATGTCATCAAAAGGAATGCAACACAATGCAACTTTGAGACTGTGAATTACCTCAAGCTATTAGTGCACTCAGTGTCTGACAGATGTTTAGTATCACTGTGTTTTCCTTGAAAATTTAAAATATTATGCAGCTCTCCCATAAGTGTGGTAATACATTTGAGAGAGTATCTTGGTTCACAGTTTTGGAAGTGTGGTTGCAGTGTTGATCTCATTGTCATATACACATACCACAAATAACAGTAGTGCTTTAAAATTTTTAATTTCACTTCTAGACTCATAACAGTTTCAACTTACCAACCTTTCTCAGAACCCTGGGTGACAGTGGAAGCCATGAAGAGTAGTTTATTCAAATTGGCCCTTATTTGACTGAAATGTGAAAAATGCCAACTGCATCAAGGTGCTGAAGCACTGAAGCTGGTCTTTTCATTGATGTTTTTTAGAGACTCACTTTTTAATTTAATATTTTGGTTTTGTAGAATATTGAGGAAATATATTTGGTAGGCCTTTTGCTCTTCAAGAAGAATCTAGTTACACAATAAGTAACACCATGTTAAGTGAGGTATCAATGAAGATTCAGAATAATGGGCAAAGAAGAGGTACAGCCTTATGAGAAGTTTGTCCAATCACTGATCGTGGCAATTTTTGCAGTGTCTAGGCACCATTTCTTCCTGTTAATATTCATGAAGGCTTTGTGGTTATCTTTAAGTGTGCCATCCTAGGAAATTTTATATTTCCCACCCAGGGAAAAAGGCAGCAATGTTATTCACACTCAGAGTGCCATGAAACAATATAGAAATTATCACTTCTGCAATTTCTGAATACCAGTTATTTCATACCGATTATGTTATCACTCAGGATTCTGTACTATACGTAGTGTAGCCTATGAATATTGGTTTCCAGTGATTCTTTCAAAGGTTGTTATATTACTATATTTTGTTGATGATGACAGCAAATGCAAATCTTACCCATACTGTAAATAGACATATGAACAATAATTCATTTTCTGGCCATCTTAAATTTATCCTTAATCATTTATTAACATAAATATAGAGTGACACATCCTCTAACTATGACTTTTTAAATAATTAATCTATAACCAATGAATTCCTAGAAAATGATCTCTTTTAATGTTATATGTACTCCCACCTTCCACACAGGGGAGGATGTCAATCAGAAGGTTCTTTCAACCTAACGGAATGATAACATCTAAATGTCTTTGAGGTGATAAATATGGCCATCCCCAATCACCATTCGTCATATTGTGTGAAGCCTATGGAGAGGTAGAGTTATCTGTTGGTGCCAGAAGTGAGGGTTTGGTTGGAAAGTAGGACACGGGATAAAAGATGCTTACTAATACCTCCTTCTCCCTCAGGTGTTGTGCTATGAAATAGCACTGTAGTTGAAATACTTTCAAGAACCCATACACTGGCCCCCACACTTGGCTCAGCCTCAAGGTTTGGCAGTAGATTGTATGGGAGTCCAAATCCCTCAACTTCAATTGAGAGTAACTCAGAATCACTGTGTCAGCAACCTTCTGTCACCCAATCTTATATGAGCCAGTGAAAGAAATACCATACATACCACAGGTGTACAATAGCAGAGGTGGGAGTCAGTAGTCCCAGAATCCCTCTCAGCCCTAGTCAAATCCTAGAGTAGGGTATCCTTCAAGGAAGGCACTCAAAATCCCAGGCAACCATTCAAGCAGCCCAGAACAGGAGCATAGCTTGCTCAGGTCTAAAGGTGGTATTAAACGGGTTATTTAAGTATAATTGTACAAACCATGCGGTGCATGTCTCAAGCCTTATAACTTTAAACCAAAATAAAACAGGTAGCAGTACATGGTCTCCTAAAAGATATTTTTTCCTGAAGAAACAGAATAGTTTCAAAGAAAAAGCTGACATGTGAGGAACTCCTATCCAAATCTGGCCTGCCACCTGACCATTCTAAATTAAAGCAAGAAGTCAACAAGATCCATCTATGCACACAGAGCTTCTAGTTGGCTTTCCAGTGCATTCTTCTTAAATATAAATGGATAGCCACAGATTCTCAGATTATTTGAAGAAAGCCTCTAACATGATATGGATGAATAGCATGCAATTAATCCTGGAGAATTCAGAATTCAGAAGAAAATAAAAATATCCAAATAAATAAATTAATTTCATGGAAATCTTCTAAGAGGACAAAATATATTGCATCCAACATAAAAACAGCAAAACACGGTGGTATAACAAAAAGATAATCAAGCTAGTAAAAGAAAATTTCATCAATTTTATAAGAATTGTTGGGACTAATTTGATAAATATACCATAAAATAGAACCAAAGAATAAAGAGATGAAATATAGGAGAGAAATTATTAGAAAACTGCAAAATAAATTCAGGGGTTTCCAGTGCCAACTAAGAATTCCAGAAAGAAAGAAACAACAAAAAACAAATTTAAACAAATGATTAAAATAATAACAAAAACATTTTTCTCAGAAATTAAGGGCAGCAGTCACCTGGTTTCAGGTGACTACCAAGTGGTCTTAAATGATGACTATAAAGGAATCACACCAAAATATGACATGATGAACTTTCATTAATTTGTTTTTAGAGAAAAAATTCTGAGCAATTCAGAGAAAATTAGAAATCATATGTGAAAAATGGAAAATAAAATGTCAGTGAATTTCTTAAGAACAAGTATAGATTCTGGAAAAAATAGAGCAATTTTGAATTTCACAGTATAAGTAAAAATGATTTTTAGCCTGAAATTATATGCTCAGCCTGCCAAAGCAAAGGTATAGAATAAATTTGCAGATACCTATGGGCTCAAATTTTGATTTATTATGCACTCTTTCCTTTGAATCTTTGTTTACTAGAAGCGATGGAGTAAACCAATAAAGAAGACCTGGGATTCAGAGATAAAGTATGGCACAGAAAAAGCAGTGATGGGAAGCCTGGGGCCTACAGAGAGAACAGCATGTGCAGAACAAAATATTTGAACTTCTCCAAGAGGAAATCATTAGGCTACAGTCAAAGAAATTAAAACAAGTCATTAGAACATCTGAAAAGTGTGAAGAAGCCCCATTTCAAGATGGCCCAATAGCAACAGCTCTGGTCTGCAGCTCCCAGCGTGATCAATGCAGAAGACAGGTGATTTCTGCATTTCCAACTGAGGCACTTGGTTCATCTCACTGGGACTGGTCAGAAAGTGGGTGCAGCCCACGGAGGGTGAGCTGAAACAGGGCGGGACATTGCCTCACCCTAGAAGAGCAAGGGGTCCAGGTATTTCCCTTTCCTAGCCAAGGGAAGCCATGACAGACTCTACTGGGAAAATCTGGAAACTGCCACCTAAACACTGCGATTTTCCAACAGTCTTAGCAAATGGCACACCAGGAGATTATATCCCACACGTGGCTCAGCGGGTCCCTCGCCCACGGAGCCTTGCTCACTGCTAGTCCCAGATCAAACTGTGAGGGGGCAAGCCTGGCTGGGGGGAGGGGAGTCTGCCATTGCTGAGGGTTGAGTAGGTAAACAAAGCAGCCAGGAAGCTTGAATTGGGCGGAGCCCACCACAGCTCAACGAGGCCCACAGGCCTCTATAGACTCCACCTCTTAGGGCAGGGCATAGCTGAAAAAAGGCAGCAGAAACTTCTGCAGACTTAAACGTCTCTGTCTGATAGCACTGAAGAGAGCAATGGTTCTCCCAGCATGGTGTTTGAGCTCTGAGAACGGACAAACAACCTCCTCAAGTGGGTCCCTGACCCCCGTGTAGCCTAACGTGGAGACATCTCACTGTAGGGGCCAACTGACACCTCATACAGCCAGGTGCCCCTCTGAGACAAAGCTTCTAGAGGAAGGATCAGGCAGAAATATTTGCTGTCCTGCAATATTTGCGTTCTGCAGCCTCTGCTGGTGAAACTCAGGCAACAGGGTCTGGAGTGGACCTCCAGCAAACTCCAACAGACCTGCAGCTGAGGGACCTGACATTTAGAAAGAAAACTAACAAACAGAAAGGAATAGCATCAACATCAACAAAAAGGACATCCAAACCGAAGCCCCATCTGTAGGTCACCATCATCACAGACCAAAGTTAGATAAAACCACAAAGATGGGGAGAAACCAGAGTAGAAAAACTGAAAATTCTAAAAACCAGAGCACCCCTTCTTCTCCAAAGGATCACAGCTCCTCGCCAGCAACAGAACAAAGCAGGATGGAGAATGACTTTGACGAGTTGACAGAAGCAGGCTTCAGAAAGTCGGTAATAACAAACTTCTCTGAGCTAAAGGAGGATGTTCGAACCCATCGCAAGGAAGCTAAAAACCTTGAAAAAAGATAGACAAATGGCTAACTAGAATAAACAGTGTAGAGAAAACCTTAAATGACCTGATGGAGCTGAAAACCATGACACGAGAACTACGTCATGCATGCACAAGCTTCAGTAGCCAATTCGATCAAATGGAAGAAAGGTATCAGTGATTGAAGATAAAATGAATGAAATGAAGCGAGAAGAGAAGTTTAGAGAAACAAGAGTGAAAAGAAATGAACAAAGCCTCCAAGAAATATGGGACAATGTGAAAAGACCAAATCTACGTTTGATTGGTGTACCTGAAAGTGACGGGGAGAATGGAACCTAGCTGCAAAACACTCTTCAGGATATTATCCAGGAGAACTTGCCCACCTAGCAAGGTAGGCCAACATTCAAATTCAGGAGATACAGAGAACACCACAAAGATACTCCTTGAGAAGAGCAATCCCAAGACACATAATTGTCAGATTCACCAAGGTTGAAATCAAGGAAAAACTGCTAAGGGCAGCCAGAGAGAAACGTCGGGTTACCCACAAAGGGAAGCCCATCAGACTAACAGCTGATCTTTTGGCAGAAACCCTACAAGCCAGAAGACAGTGGGGGCCAATATTCAATATTCTTAAAGAAAAGAATTTCCAATACAGACTTTCATATCCAGCCAAACTAAGCTTCATAAGTGAAGGAGAAATAAAATCCTTTATAGAAAAGCAAATGCTGAGAGATTTTGTCACCACCAGGCCTGCCTTGTAAGAGCTCCTGAAAAAAGCACTAAACATGGAAAGGAAAAACTGGTACCAGCCACAGCAAAAACATGCCAAATGGTCAAGACCATTGATGCTAGGAAGAAACTGCATCAATCAATGGGCAAAATAACCAGCTAATATCATAATGACAGGATCATATTCACACATTACAGTATTAAGTATTAACCTTAAATGTAAGTGGATTAAATGCCCTAATTAAAAGACACAGACTGACAAATTGGATAGTCAAGACCCATCAGTGTACTGTATTCAGGAGACCCATCTTACAGGCAGAGACGCACATAGACTCAAAATAAAGGGATGGAGGAAGACGTACCAATAAAATGGAAAGCAAAAAAAAAAAAAAGCAGGAGTTGCAATCCTAGTCTCTGATAAAACAGACTTTAAACCAACAAAGATAAAAAGAGACAAAGAGGGCCATTACATAATGGTAAAAGGATCAATTCAACAAAGAGGAGCTGGTACCATTCCTTCTGAAACTATTCCAATCAATAGGAACAGAGGGAATCCTCCCTAACTCATTTTATGAGGCCAGCATCATCCTGATACCAAAGCCTGGAAGAGACACAACAAAAAAAGAGAATTTTAGACCAATATCCCTGATGAATATCGATGAGAAAATCCTCAATAAAATATTGGAAAACCAAATTCAGCAGCACATCAAAAAGCTCATCCACCAAGATCAAATTTGTTTCATCCCTTGGATGCAAGGCTGGTTCAACATATGCAAATCAATAAACATAAGCCATCATATAAACAGAACCAAAGACAAAAGCCACATAATTATCTCAATAGATGCAGAAAAGGCCTTCAACAAAATTTAACAGCCCTTCATGCTAAAAACTCTCAATAAACTAGATATTCATGGAACGTATCTCAAAATAATAAGAGCTATTTATGACAAACCCACAGCCAGTATCGTACTGAATATGCAAAAACTGGAAGCATTCCCTTTGAAAACTGGTACAAGACAGGGATGCCCTCTCTCACCACTCCTCTTCAACAGTGTTGGAAGTTCTGGCCTGGGCAATCAGGCAAGAGAAATAAATAAAGGGTATTCAGTTAGGAAAAAGGAAGTCAAGTTGTCCCTGTTCACAGATGACATGATTGTATATTTAGAAAACCACATCATCTCAGCTCAAAATCTCCTTAAGCTGATGAGCAACTTCAGCAAAGTCTCAGGATACAAAATCAATGTGCAAAAATCACAAGCATTCCTATACACCAATAACAGACAAACAGAGAGCCAAATCATGAGTGAACTCCCATTCACAATTGCTTCAAAGAGAACAAAATAATTAGGAATCCAACTTACAAGGGATGTGAAAGACCTCTTCAAGGAGGACTACAAACCACTTCTCAAAGAAATAAAAGAGGACACAAACAAATGGAAGAACAGTCCATGCTCATGGATAGAAAGAATCAATATCGTGAAAATGGTCATATTGCCCAAGGTAATTTATAGATTCAATGCCATCCCCATCAAGCTACAAATGACTTTCTTCACAGAATTGGAAAAAACTACTTTAAAGTTCATATGGCACCAAAAAAGAGCCCGCATTGCCAAGACAATCCTAAGCGAAAAGAACAAATCTGGAGGCATCACACTATCTGACTTCAAACTATATATGAGGCTACAGTAACCAAAACAGCATGGTACTGGTACCAAAACAGAGATATAGACCAATGGAACAGAACAGAGCCCTCAGAAATAACACCAGACATCTACAACCATCTGATCTTTGACAAATCTGAGAAAAACAAGAAATGGGGAAAGGATTCCCTATTTAATAAATGGTGCTGGGAAAACTGACTAGCCATATGTAGAAAGCTGAAACTGGATCCCTTCCTTACACCTTATACAAAAATTAATTCAATATGGATTAAAGACTTAAATGTTAGACCTAAAACCATAAAAACCCTAGAAGAAAAACTAGGCAATACCCTTCAGGACATAGGCATGGGTAAGGACTTCATGTCTAAAACACCAAAAGCAATGACAACAAAAGCCAAAATGGACAAATGGGATCTAATTAAACTAAAGGGCTTCTGCACAGCAAAAGAAACTACCATCAGAGTGAACACACAACCTACAGAATGGGAGAAAATTTTTGCAGTGTAGCCATCTGACAAAGGGCTAATATCCAAAATCTACAAAGAAGTTAAACATATTTACAAGAAAAAAACAAACAACCCCATCAAAACTGGGCGAACGATATGAACAGACACTTGTCAAAAGAAGATATTTATGCAGCCAACAGACACATGAAAAAATGCCCATCATCACTGGTCATCACAGAAATGCAAATCAAAACCACAATGAGATATCATCTCACACCAATTAGAATGGCGATCATTAAAAAGTCAGGAAACTACAGGTACTGGAGAGTAAGTGGAGAAATAGGAACACTTTTACACTGCTGGTGGGAGTGTAAACTAGTTCAACCATGTGGAAGACAGTGTGGCGATTCCTCAAGGATCTAGAACTAGAAATACCATTTGACCTGGCAATCCCATTACTGGGTATATACTCAAAGGATTATAAATCATGCTACTATGAAGACACATGCACATGTATGTTTATTGCAGCACTATTCACAATAGCTAAGAGTTGGAACCAACCCAAATGTCCATCAGTGATAGACTTGATTAATGAAATGTGGCACATATACACCATGGAATACTATGCAGCCATAAAAAAGGGTGAGTTCATGTCCTTTGTAGTGACATGGGTAAACCTGGAAACCATCATGCTGAGCAAACTATCACAAGGACAGAAAACCAAACACCACATGTTCTCACTCATAGGTGGGAACTGAACAATGAGAACACTTGGACACAGGGTGGGGAACATCACACACTGGGGCCTGTCGTGGGGAAGGCGGATGGGGGAGGGATAGCATTAGGAGAAATATCTGATGTAAATGACGAGTTAATGGGTGCAGCGAACCAACACGGCACATGTATACGTATGTAACAAACCCACACGTTGTGTACATGTACCCTAGAACTTAAAGTATAATAAAAAAAATGTGAAGACCTATGAAACAGAAACCAATGATGGAAAATGTCATAAATAATTTAAATGTTTGGAATAATTTTATAGAAAATAATGCAAATAAAATAATTATAATCTCAAACGAAGTCCAAAAATTGTAGAGAGAGTGACTTGAACCACGAGTGAAGGGTTTGCATAGTCATATTTATATAAATTATCTAACTTTAAATTTATATGTTGCTCCCTGTCTCTCTGTCTCTGTCTCTTTGTCTCTCAACACACACATACACATATGCATGTAAAATATATATTATTTACTTAGATAATCATGTATTGAATAAATATATATGGAACTCAAATGTAATCTAAAGATGATCTTAATATTGGCTCAATGTATATATCTGGGAAATACTTTAGTAAATTTTTGATGGAAAGAATTACAATGGTGAAGTGAGAAAAATAAGCTGCAGGATGATATAAGATTTCAGTATAGTTATCTATCATAAAATGAAAAATATATAAAGTGGGTATATTAAAAATAATATAAGCTTTGTAACTTGAAATGTGAAAGTAAACAGGGAAAAATAGCTAAAGTACTGTTATTGATTGCAAAGAAGAGGAGTCAAAAGACACAAAGTCAGTTAGGCAGGTGGACATTTTTCATTATAGACTTGTTAACCAAAAGATTTTATTGTATTGATATTATTTTAATTGAATTTTTTTAATTTTTTTATTTCCATTAAGATAGAAACTAAGCCAAATGAGCATTGTAAACTGCCTCAGTTAAAAGTTGTTTAGAGAACACTTGATAGGACGTTGTATAACTTTAGGCTAGCAACACCAGGTAGTGTATGAAAGTGAAATCTGGGTGTGTGGACTTCTGGACTTCTGGACTTCTGAGTGGTGAATTATCTTTCTCCAGTTCTATTTTGCAAAGGCTTAGTCATCTGAAGTAAGCAATGTGGAATTTATTGGTCCTGGGGCAGATTGTAATACTTTTGAGTATCTCCCCGCACTTGGATTTTATTTTTAAAACATTCTCCAAATATATTAGTTTCAAAAGTCAAAAAATACACCACAAATATTTTCCTCTTAAATTTGGATCTCTACCTGTCATTTGGCAGATCAAAAGTGGGATTTTATAAGCTGTTTTGCTCCCCAGTTGTCTGGTGACACAGAGTATTGATGAAAATGGGCATAGGTAACTCACTAACTAAATTCAAACCTAACTGTTATTTTCCAAAATATCATTACCCTGACAGTGACCTGTTGCAAAGAAAAGAAAACAATAGAAGTGGGAAATTATAAATTCTTGCCAGATAAAGACAAGATTTACATGCAATATTCAAAGATATGTTATTTCAACAATTAATTATTTTGACAACTATCTTGAGTTTTTTTAAGTTTTGTTTATTTCTGGTTTTTCTGTTGTTACATGAATTAGGTTGAAATACTTGACATGAGTCATGCTACAATGAAAAGGTAATTAGATTGGGTGTCATGACTCTTGTCTCTAGACCAACTCTCCATTAATTGACTGTATGGCCTTGTGCAAATCAATGCATTATTGAGCTTCAACTTGTCCTGCAAAATAATTAATCCATATAAACTCTAAGGACCCAGCATGTACCAAAATTCTAGATAGTTATGGTTTCAAGTTAACAAATGACTTTGATTTGGGTTGTGTAACCCAAATGTATGTGATTTTGATCATTCCCTTCATATCTGATATATTTATGGATTAAGAATATTAAATTTATCTTAACTATTCAGAGGTCATTAAACAGGCACAGTAACAAAAATTTAAAAAATGGGAATTGACTTAACATAACTAATATAATTTGTGGTAGCTAGAAGATTTTTAGCCACATTAAAAGAGAGCTAGATCCAAACTTATGTTGGTAAGTCCTGTTACTTTACTTTTCACTCTCGGATAGCAAGAAAAGTACCATCCCTTTGTGTCCCATCTGGGTTGCCAACATGTGTCTGGAATTGGTTCCTTCTGGTGGGTTCTTGGTCTCGCTGACTTCAGGAGTGAAGCTGCAGACCTTCACAGTGAGTGTTACAGTTCTTAAAGATGGTGTGTCCAAGAGTTTGTTCCTTCAGATGTTCAGATGTGTCCGGAGTTTCTTCCTTCTGGTAGGTTCATGGTCTCGCTGACTTCAGGAATGAAGCCACAGACCTTCGCCATGACTGTTACAGCTCTTAAAATTGGCACATCAGGAGTTGGTTGTTCCTCCTGGTGGATTCGTGGTCTTGCTGACTTCAGGAATGAAGCTGCAGACCCTCGCCATGAGTGTTACAGGTCTTAAAGGTGGTGTGGACCCAAAGAGTGAGCAGCAGCAAGATTTATTGTGAAGAGCGAAAGAACAAAGCTTCCACAGCATGGAAAGGGACCCGAGTGGGTTGCCACTGCTGGATCAGGTGGCCAGATTTTATTCCCTTATTTGGCCCTGCCCACGTCCTGCTGAATGGTCCATTTCACAGAGCGCTGATTGGTCCATTTTACAGAGTGCTGATTGGTGCGTTTACAATCCTTTAGCTAGACACAGAGTGCTGATTGGTGTGTTTTTACAGAGTGCTGATTGGTGCATTTACAATCCTTTAGCTAGACACAGAGTGCTGATTGGTGCATTTATTATCCTTTAGCTAGACAGAAAAGTTCTCCAAGTCCCCACTGGACCCAGGAAGTCCAGGTGGCTTCACCTCTCACCTTTATGCTGTAAGTACTGCTTCACTTGGCAATAAAACTGTCCAGTTTCATTTATCTATTGATATCTTAGTCTTCCAAATATAACGCTTCTTTTTTTATAACTAATGTCAGAAACAAGCAGAATATGCAGATTATAAAGAGGCTGGGATGTTCCTTTCTCTCTCTCTGTTTACTCCCTGCCAGCAGCTATCGCTATAGATATCACAATTTGAGACTCTGCCAAGGTCAAAAGGGGGATAAGAGAGGGACAAAAATTAAATTAAAAAAGAAAAGGTGATGATGGGTTTTTATTTTGGCTTTGTAATCTAATTTCCAGCTGTTGATGATGTTGGGGTCCTTCACATCCCTTGTAAGTTGGATTCTTAGATATCTTATTCTCTTTGTAGCAATTGTGAATAGGAGTTCACTCATGACTTGGCTCTCTGTTTGTCTGTTATTGGTGTATAGGAATGCTTGTGATTTTTGCACAAGCATTGATTTTGTATCCTGAGACTTTGCCGAAGTTGCTTATCAGCTTAAGGAGATTTTGAGCTGAGATGATGTGGTTTTCTAAATATACAATCATGTCATCTGCAAGATTAAGTAAATTTCGTTTCTAAATTTACTGTTTAGTCCTAATTTTGTTGGTTTAGTTTTATTATTTTTGTGGTGTGTATTGGAAGAAACAATCTACCACCCCAAATCCCTTAATATCTCTGCTTGTATTTGCTGAATGTACCACATTACAAAGCTTGTCCTGATTCTGAGAAGTTCTTGTAGCTAGTCACATGGGCAACTAAATAGGTTATGGAGACCACAGAGTGAGTTTAGTAAACTTTGCTCCAAAAGGTGGGGAAGCTGGTTAGTTTGTTGTTTGCCACAATGTTTGCTACTTGCAAAAAGAAAAAAAATGTACTAGGTCTTTGGCCCCCCAAAACAACCTACAGTATGCACAGGTATCATCTGACCCTTCATGTGGTCCTGGGGAAATTGGTGGTCAGAGAAACTGCATAAGTATTTTGGCAGTTTGAATGCTGTTTTCCCTATGAATAATAAAGACATCTCTAATCTGAGAGTTTCTGTCTTTTGTCAGTTTGCGTGAAACTGTGGCAAGTTAACTTACCATTTTGTAAATAGGGAAAATTCCAGATCCTTCACATTTCTTGACAGTGTTTAGGAACGAGAATGGGCTTGTGACAGACATGTCTTTCTGAAAAAGGAGAAAAAACTGTGCTCTGTTGAACAGTTGATGGAATTTAAGGGGAGTAGTTGGGGATTTGAAGAAAGCGTATTGCCCAAATTATATGGCCAAGTGAACAATAAATGGTACTCTATGTTTTTGCCTGTTAATGAAGAAGATTGGCCAGTTTTTAACCGTGTATTCCTTAAACATTTAATTGTGAGAAAATCTTCCTAAACAAAAATAAAATGTTAAATACAGGAAATGGAATGGCTAATTTTAGTTGTATGCTACTAAGAAAATGTATTCATTCAAAAGAGATAACTACTTAGTAGATTAATTAATCTATTTAACATTTTATACTGACACCACTTATTGGAACTGCTATCTAATAAAACCTGCATCTAGTTAAATATTCTCTTTTGGACTAATTAACAGTAACTGATTTCAGATTTTAAAATAAAAAATAGTAGACATTTATTATTTACCACGTTGTAGTTTAGATCAATCATGAAAATTAGTTTTTGTCTCTGTTTTCTATCCTCTACTTTTTCTAAGTGTTTCACATTTGTTTATTTAATCCTCTCAATGATTCTATGGTTTAGGCTTCACTAATATCCACATTTTACAACAATGAAAAGAGTTTCAATCAGTTGCCTTATGTAAAAAAGCTTCTCAGTGCTGACCCAGACACCAACTCAGGCAGGCTGGCTGCAGAGCCAGGTTTTCAGTCTCCTTGCTAGCTCAGATAAGTTTACTTTTCTGTCTAAGTTTCTTCATATCTGAAAACATGAACAGAACACTGGAGATCCCTTTCGGAAATATGTATTTTAGTGCCATCAGAAAATAAATCACATTTACAAAATACATTTTCAAATTAGTCAATGATTAATTTTTTCTTAAAACAGGGGAAACAACCAGGGAAAAATCAAAGGTTCTCTAATTACCTGGAGGACATTGAGGAAAAACTGCTTAGTACTAGAATATTATTTTAAATCTGTCATGTCCCTTTGAGCTTATTTAAAGCTCAGGGATTTTTTTGTAAGCAATAGAAAGGGGTGAAAATATATAATTCATCAAAACTGTTTTACTTTCTGGCTTCTCATTAGGTAACAGTACAATTCCTATAACTAGAATGTTATCAGGAAATCCTTTTATTGTATTCTAAATTGTTCACAAAACAATTTTCTGGGTTGGATTATGTTGAAAGCATGTAAAAGTCAGTGATGCGGCTAGTATAACAGTGTCCTTTTTATTAAGGAGACTTAAGGAAAACCGTTGATGTCAGACCAGGTGCACATAGTAGGAAAGAAGGAGCTAAAAATTAGAAGACAGTTTAACTTATCGCTCAAATATGTTATATCTTTTATTACTTCACTATTGTTAATTAAAGGGCGTTATGTATATTTATTTAAAATGTTGTCAACTGAAGACCTTTGGTTTTCAATGTGCTCAATTTAAAAACTCATTTAATAATATATACTGAACACATATTTCTGTTCCAAGCACTGTGCTTGAAAATTTGCCTCTGCCTTCATTGAACCTACAATAGTCGGGTATAGACAAACCAGAGATCATATTGTGATATGACAAAGGCAATAATAGAGTAGCAGATGATACTAATAAAATGCCCAGTGTGAGGTGTCAAAACTAGTCTAGGAATTCAGAGACGGTCCTGTGATTTGTCATAATTTAAACAAAAGAATTTTATGTAACCCACAGCTTTCTGGAAAAAAACGCACATACAAAAAGTAAACTTATAGATATACACAAATTAAAATTCTGTGGATGACTAAGTTGTGCAATTATGCATTTTTATAAAAGACATAAGGAAAGATTAAATTAAATTAGAAACATCCCTAACTTTCTGATGATAAATTTTCTCATCCTGAGATTTAGAAACTGCTTTAGACTATTTATTCTCATGATTCTAGAGTACAGTATTTATTCTCATGATTCTAGAGGCTGGGTGATTATAACTTATAACTGTGATCTTCTAAGACTTGCTGCCTAAAAATGCAAATGTTAATGACTTAGAAAGTACTAAAAACAGAAAAAGGATTGTTCATTAAGTGAACTTTTCCCTAAAGATAGCATCTTCGCTAAAGTCTTGCAAGAGCATAGACTGTTCCATGTCCCAGTATCTCCTCCTGTCTTTCTAAAATTCAAGTATCTCTTTCCTCTAAATTCCTCACTTTAAATATATATTAACACAACCTATTTATTATTATCATTTTTTCTTGGCAAAAGGAAAGGGTTACACCTCAGAACTTGAACTAAAATATAAACTACAGAGTATTGTTTGGCCAACATTCAAATACTATGGTATTTAACCCTTAACCTCTTTCTATAAGACTCTTTTTCCTTTTCTCAGAATATTCATCTCCTTTGTGTTGGCTACTTCTGCCTTCACTGCACAGTTCACCTTAATTCGTGGCAATCTTGTCAAAATACTTCTATTTCACCTTACAGAAAAATTCCAGCTGTTTCTTTCTGTAACAGAGTTTCATTTTTACTGAAAGAGCATGTAAATTAGGCAAAGTAAGAAAAGAATCAGAGTATTTCCTATAAAATGTTTGCAATATGAAAAAAAGTCTTAATTCTGCAAAACCAGGTTTGTAGTCTAGTTTTTCTTAGTACAATTAAAATCCACTATTTAATATATTGAAGTCTAAATGCCTTTAATAGGGCATGAACATGATAGTTCATTACTGCTGCAAAGGTTATTGCTGAAAAATTTCCAAATGAAGGATTTATATGTACTTCCGCTATATTTGTCAATTTTTTTCAAATAAATCTCCCCAAGCATTACAGGTAAGCCAAGGATCCACAGGACTTTCAATGCAAGTGTGATAGTTTTTGACAGAGTATTTGGACATGTTGAGTGAATACTTCAGAAATATTTTTGTTTGTGTTAGCATATATTACTACCCACTTATAACAAGAAAACAGCTGTACAAGTAGCATAGACTGGTAAATATGTAGTTCATATTCTAGGTTTGCTCCAGTGTAGCCATGGAGTAAACTGTGGCTATTATTTTGTTGATTAACAAATCTTCTGTGAAGTGTCTTAGTTCAGACTGTTCTAACAGAGCACAATAGACTGAGTGGTTTAAATAACAAATATTAATTTTCACAGTTAAGGGATTAAGTAGTCAAAGGTCAAGGGACTAGTATATCCAGTGTCTAGGGAGGGCTGTCTTCCTGGTTTAGAGACATTTTCTTGCTGTGTCCTCACATGGCACGAACAGAGAGATAGTCTCTTTTGTCTTTTCTGGTAAGAGCACAAATCCCATTCATAAGGGCTCTATTTTCATGACCTAATTACCTCCCAAATGCTCCACCTTCAAACGCTGTCATACTGGGGATAAGCTTCAGTCTCTTAATTCATGGGACACAAACATTCTATAGCATAAAGTATACTATTATTATAATAACTTCAAACAAGAAAATATAGTGGCTACGTATTTCAAAGATTTGACTCTACAAGTTCAGAAGTCCAACAAAAGCAAAGTACTAAATTCCTCAATTATTTTATTATATTTCCCTTTGTAAGTTGTTGTTGTTGTTATTTTGTTTTGTTTTGTTTTGTTTTGTTTTGAGACAGAGGAACGATCTCAGCTCACCTCCACCTCCACCTCCCAGGTTCAAGTGATTCTCCTGCCCCAGACTCCCAAGTAGCTGGGATTAGAGGCATGCTACCACGCCCGGCTAATTTTTGTGTTTTTAGTAGAGACAGGGTTTCACCATATCGTCCAGGCTAATCTTGAACTCCTGACCTCAGGGGATCTGCCTGCCTTGGCCTCCTAAAGTGCTGGGAGTGTTTTATTTATGCTTTCCTTGACAAGTTTTCCATACCTCTTGTATAGGCTATGACAATACTCTCTTAATCGATCTACCAGCCTTCAATCTGTCTAACCCCTACTTCCTAACCGTCACTACATATAAACATCATTAACAAATTATCTTTCTGATTATAATATTTTGGATAAATTCTTTGAGGTATAATTTGCATAATTAATATGCCCACATTTTAATTGCATAGTTTAATGTTATGGCAACTGTAAACACCTTTAAACTATTACCACAATTAAGATAGTAAAGACATCCCTCACTGCAGAAAGTTCCTTCATGCCCCTCTTTCAATAAATTCTCACCCGTACCCTGACGCCAGGCAACAACTAACCTGATTTCTATCATAGTAACTTATTTTTATATTTCCCAGGATTTCATATAAAAGAGATTATACAGTATGTTTTTTTTTTTTTTATTTTGTCTCTGGCTTCTTTTGCTCATCACAATGTTTGAAAGACATGGATGTTGTAGAATGTAGCAAAAAAGTGTTCCTTTTCTCTGATAAAGTAGTTTGTTTTCCACTTACATGTTTATATACATTTGTGTTCTTTTAGTTTGATACTATTACAAATAAAACTATTTGTATATGTCATTGGTGAACATATAAAACATTGGACATGATTTTATTTATCTTGGAAAAATACCAAAAAATTTTAGGGTTTTACAGGAAATGACAAAATATATTTTGAAGTCATTCTTTAATTATGTATGAAAGTTCAAATAGTTTATATTCTGGCCAATACCTTGTGTGACTGGTTTTAATTTTTTGCAATTCTAGTGAATGTGAAATGATTTCTCATTGTAGTCTTAGTTTTAAGCTCTTGTTTTATGCTGAACACCTCTCCTTGATCTTGCTGGCAATCTATATATCTTATTTTACAAAGTGTCTGTTGGAGACATTTGTCCACTTATAAAAAAGTTTGCCTCTTTATTATGTATTTGTTAAAGTATCTATATGTATCCTAGATATAAGCTCTTTAACAGATTTATGTTTCAAACAGATTTATCCTACAGTATCAGCCGCTTTTCAAAAGGAAATACTTTGTCACTAAGTCCACCTTATGAATTCACCTGTTGCTAGTGCTTTTTGTGTTCTCTCCAATAAATCTTTGTCTACTTCAAGTTTATTAAATGTTTACTCATAAAATTATTTTTTATGGTTTTAACTTTCATATTTTTGGATACTATTCATTTTTAATTTTGAATTATAATATTACATAAGTGGTCAATGTTTACATTTTACATACAGATACCTCGTTTCAGGAACATTCGGTGGAAAAACTATTCTTTCTCTATTGAATTATCTTGGCACCTTTCTTGAAAAATTAGTGGCCCATATGTATACCAGTCTAGTCCTAACCTCTATTCTGTATCATTTACCTATGTGTCCATATTTTTAACATACTGCAGTCTCCTGATTACTATAGCTTTATAGTAGTCTTCAAAGATGATAGTGTCAGTCTTCCAATTAAATTTTCTTTTTAAATACTGTTTTGACTTTCTAAGTTCTTTAGTTTCCATATAAATAATATAATTAGCGTGTCAGTATGTACAAAAAAGGAAAAACAACTTCCTTGATATTTTAATCTATAGATCAATTGGGGGAAATTTGCTACTTTAATAATAATTTTTTTTCTATTCATGAACTTAGTATACATCATAATCTATTTAGGGTTCCTAAATTCCTCTTAGAAATATTTTGTGTTTTCAAAATACAGGTTTTAGACACATTTTAAAATGTTTATTCTTCAGTAGTTTAAATATTTTAATGCCATTTAAAATATAGTTGTTTGTTTCCAGCCTATACAACTATAGTTAATTTTTAGAAAGTTAATTGTTAATTACATTGATTGGTAGCTTTGGATAAGATTTGCATGCATGAATTATCAAAGTTTATTTAAATGAAATATTTTATTACTTCACATTTCATATTTCCCATTTAAGTATTATAAAGTTATGTAATTTCATTTACCTAACCACTATTATTTTTATTTTAGTCATAATTTTTATTTGTATCTATGTCAAAAATTCTGTCTTACCATGTTATTATTCTTTATTTAAACAGTTACTTGCCTTTTAAAGAAATATTGCTATGAATTACACACAAATTTTATATGTGTCCAATTATTTACCATTTCTAGTGCTCTCAATCTCTCTTTGAATTTGAATCTATCCAGTATCACTTTCCTTCATTCTGAAAAAAAAAAAAAAACATTATTTAGCTTTTTTTTGTAGTGCGATTTACTGGTAACATAATGTCTTAGCTTTTATTTATCTGAAATATCTATATTTCCAACTCTTTTTAGAAGTACGAATCATTGAATTTAGAATTTGGATTTGAATAATATTTTATTTCTTCAACACTAATTTTTTTAAAAAGTCAAAGTGCAGAAATTTCATGATTGTTTCAGTAGCTCAACAATATTAAAGAGTCAGCTTTCATCTGCATTTCAGCTCTACAATTCTTAGCATATTGGCTTACAGTTCTATGGGCCCAAGATGGCCATTGTAATGTCAAAAATTCTGTCTTAATGGCACAAAGTAGGTAGCAAATGTTCTCCAGATGCATTTTGCTATTTTCATCTAAACTACAAAAAACATCCAGAAGCCCTTGCAGCATATTTCCACTTATAATTCAGAGATTAAAACAAAGCTTTGTTGTCCTCACTGGCTGTAAGACTGGAAAAGTGAGTACGGTATTTCGCTTTCCATTCTCTATCATGTGATGCAGTAAAAAGAAAGCTTTCAGTATGGATTTGGAACCCCCCACAATAAAATTTGCTTTAATAGGAAAAGAAACTCCAAAATAATATCAGGCATTATGCTGCCAGCCCAGATGGAAATTTAATGGACTTCAAGATATCAATAGTAGCTCTATACACCAGTTATAGTTATGTTGACTCAAAAGTAACATAATTATCACATTAGAATAAAGTATCTGTTTTCCTTCAGTCTAGGGTCTATGCCTTCTCATTTTATCTCTCACTTGTTCCTGGTTTTCCAGTCACTCTCTACTGATTTGATCTCCTTTTCTTTCTACCATACAGATTATATTTTCTTAATTATTTTGCATCTCATTGATTCTGTTCACTATCTTCTCTATATCATGCATGCTTCCCCCACACTGTGGTCTTTTTTCTCTATCTGAATATTAACATTAGAAATATCAGAGAGATATTGATCAAGATTTTCAGACATCGTACAGTTTAGAGTACACAAGCTTGACAGTTCTCTCAGGCCAAGCCATATCAAAGCCAAGAGCCTGTAAATACCTTGCTTTGGAGATTGCTGTTAATTTGTGTTTTGATCAGCTGAAATCAAGGTAGTAAGACAATATGATGCAAAGCAGCATTTTCTATGTATAGAGAACACCTCGACTGTTTGTTCCAAACAGTTTTGATACATAGCAAAGTGATATAATTTGTCTGTGAAACAAAAGTCCTGAATGATTTGGTCCACAACTTTTCTTCCAAGCACTACTTCTCATTATTTATTTACCATATTTGATATTCACCTATGTTGGAATCTGTAACACTCTAAAAGTGCTTTATGCCTTTAATGCTACTTTTACTTTATCTTATACTTAAAATGTTCATATTCTCTCTCTCTCTCTCTGAACACTAAGAATCCAATCTATCCCAATGATAAGTCTTACTTACCTAATCTGTGTGTGATTTTATGAAATACTATTTTTGTACTAATACATAATATATGAACATATTGTTGAGGTGCATGTGATATTTTGGTGTGTTTATAAAATGCATGATGATTAAATAGTTTAACAAAATAATCCATCACCTCAAACATTTACCTTTTCTTTGTGCTGCGAACATTCAAATACTTCTTTTCTAGATATTTTGAAATACACAATAGATTATTGTTAAGACTAGATCTTATTCCTTTTAAGGAATATATATATTATTTGTCTTTTCAGTGTATCTGTTGACTGTGCTTGATGGGAAAATTCCTAAAAATAGTGGATAGATTCTTCTGATTTCCCTTCCTTTGAAATGATTTTCACTGCATTAAGCAAGACAGCCATATTGAAACAAAAATTTAAGGCCATGGAGCTAGTTTCTTGTGTACAAACTATCTGACATACTACCATGTGTTCCTTTGAGATGTTTTTGGGTAAATATGTTATTTTCATTCTTCTTACAATCATATGATAAGGCATTAGAAAAAGCCTGATTCATTTGAAGCCACAGCTGTAGGAAAAGCATAAAGCCCCACATAGAATCTCACTCTGAGGAGCAAAAGCTTTGTGTTTCTAGAGAAAATCGGAAAACTCTGTCACTCCCAAGGCACGGGTGAAGACCTGATGCAACTGTTAGAAGGGAAGAGAGAAAAAACCTCTACCCCTAGGACAGAGGCAGGAAACAATGCCAATAGAGGTCTCCTACCACTAGGAAAATAGAAGGAAACTCCCTATTGTACATATTTTAAGGCAGAATTTTTCTCCCATGGAGAAGGGGGACATGATTATGGAAAATATTGAACCCCTGATATCCAGAGGCACAATATTTGCCTAAGACTTAGGGTGGATTAAGGCAACAGACAGCCACAACTCCTTCTTTCACAGCACCACCAGATTAGTAAGTAGCAAGTAACATATGGCAGGGGAGGAGAAAAATCTTCAAAACAGACTTTCTCTGAGACATAAGCATACAAAGGAAACTGAGAGTAGAGAATGGAGCAGAACAATGATTTAAAAAACCCCTCAAGCAATCAGTTTAGAGTAAGACTGCAATAATTTGAACTCAAAGGTGCTTTGAAGATGGCAATAAAAAATAAAATAAAATAAATTTAAAGTTATCTCAACTTCTAACTAGAATGGCATAAACCACTGACCTAGGAGAAACTATTCACAATAGTAAAGACTTGAAACCAACCCAAATGTCCATCAATGATAGACTGGACTAAGAATATGTGGCACATATACACCATGGAATACTGTGCAGCCATAAAAAAGGATGAGTTCATGTTCTTTGTAGGGACATAGATGAAGCTGGAAACCATCATTCTGAGCAAACTATCGCAAGGACAGAAAACCAAACACTGCATGTTCTCACTCATAGGTGGGAATTGAACAATGAGAACACTTGGACACAGGGTGGGGAACATCACACACCGGGCCTGTCGTGGGAGGGGAGAGGGATAGCATTAGGAGATATATCTAATGTAAATGACGAGTTAATGGGCGCATCACACCAACATGGCACATGTATACATATGTAACAAACCTACACGTTGTGCACATGTACCTTAGAACTTAAAGTATAATAATAAAAAATAAGAAAAAGAAAGAGGCACTCCCAGTTCTAAGCACAAATATGTTTATTTCTATCTCAAATATACCCTATACATGTCTGGCATACAATCAAAGTTTATGAGTCACTGATAAAAGAAAGAAAAATCAACCCACTTTCAAGATATAATGCATTCAATAGATAAAACTCAGAGAGAAGCTAAATATTGTTACTATAAGGCACGGAATTGAAAATAACAATCAATAATAGGATTAAAAACCTAGTAAAAATGTAGACAACCTGCATAAACTGATGGCAGGATTTCAGCAAGAAGCTGATATGTATGAAATTGGATCAAATGGAAGCACAGATGCTCCTCACCTTTCAATGGATACCAGAAAACCCACCATAACTTAGCCTAGGCTTTCTAAATGTACTCAGAACATGTACATTCACTTACAGTTGGGCAAAATCATTTAACACAAGCCTATTTTATAATAAAGTGCTGACTATCTCATGTATTTTATTGAATACTGTACTGAAAGTGAAAAACAGAATGGTTACATGTGTACTCACTATTAACAAACACAGCTGAAAGCACACTGGGCCTGAATAACATTTTAAGTGTTAAACTAAAATTAATTGCTGGATGATGGGGATGCTACAGATGCAGGGTCATCAATTTCTCTCTTTTCTGATGAGGCTTCAGAAGAGCTGATAGAAGGCACTGAGGCATCATAGTTGATGAGTTAGCAGAGATGGCGTACTTCAGGGAGATATTGTACTTTATATTGGATGTTTACTATCATGATCTTATGACTGACTGTGAGCCACAGCTTGCTGCCGCTGCCCAGAATCGAGTGATTACCATACTGCATATTGCTAGCCTAGAAAAGATCAAAATTCAGAATCTGAAGTATGGTTTCTACTGAATGCATATTGCTTTTGCACCATCATAAAGTCAAAAAAAATGAAAGTCAAATTATTGTAAGTCAAGGACTGTCTGTACTAGAAAATAGTATACCCAATAGGAGATGATGAATATTTTCGACAGACTCATAGGTACACTAAAGATAGCCAAGGGAAAAAACAGTTACCTTGAAGATTAGTCAGTATTAATCACACAATTTAAAACACATGGAGAAATTTTTTAAAATAATTTTAAAAGAAACAGTCAATCAAATATTTGGATGAAAATATCAAACTCTGTAACATGTGCAAATTCCAGAAGGAGAAGGTGAGAAATAAAAAGAGAGAACAAATATTTAAAGATTGAATGATAAAATGGGAGAAATAAATTTCAACAAATCTATTTTATGGCAAGGTGACTATAGTTAATGACATATTGTATTCTTGAAAAATATAAAGACAGTGGATGTTGAGTGTTATCACAAAAATGATGACTATATGAAGTAACGAATTTGTTAATGAACTAGATTTAATCATCCACAATGTATGTATGCTTTAAAACATCATGTCGTATATGATAAAAACATAGAATGTTACGTCTCAAATTAAAAAAAATACAAATAAAATAAAAGTTTCTAAAATAAAAATTTTAAAAAACTGAATGACCAATAATTGTCCAAAAATACCAGTAAGCTTCAACATTAACTATATGTATTGATTCCCAAGCAGGACAAAGAGCAATAAACAAACAATAAACAAATAGAAAACACCTATATGCATCATATTCAAGTTTATGTAAACCCAAAAATAATGAAAAAATCATAAAACTGGTAATAGAATAAGGACACATTACAATCAGAGGAATAGCGATAAGAATTAAAAACTCCTCAAACATTTGTCATTTCTTTGTGTTGGAAACATTCCAAATGTTCTCATTAAAAATGGTGCAAACCAGAAGACTGTGATTACATTTATATCACATTCTGAACAAAGTAAATTTATAAATTAATGAGAGGTTGCCAAGGATTGGGAGTTGGGGTATGTTTAGCTATAAGTTGGTGCAAGAGATAATTTGGGGTTAAGAATGTTCTGTACCTTGACTGTAATAGTGGTTTCACAGCAATATATGAGTGTAAAAACTCAGAATTTTTACTCTAGAAAGGTGAAATTTTACTCTACGTTCATTATACCTCCATATATATGATGAATAATGTTTAACAACATTGTAAATTTTCCAATAAACATGACAGACTAGCCACAAATACTTATTACGTATCCCTCTTAAGACAGTAATACAATCACAAAAAGTTATATTCTATTTAGTGTATAAACTCAATATAAATTCTGTTTAGTGTCTAAGCTCAAACTGGAAAAAGAAAATGAAGAGAAAGTATCAGAAGCTATGACAGCAAAACAAATTTCTTGAAAGTACCTGAAGGATTTGTCAGGGAGAGTTGTAAAATTTCAACCTCCTGTTTCATTTGGCAAAAGCCTCAAGGGACTGAGGTAACACCAGTTCCCACAGTGGGATGTGATGAGGCAAGGGATAGCAATGTGTGACTTGTTGAGTAATGGTAACTAAGCCATAGCACACTCATATACCTTCACTATACTTTTATCAAGTGTGTTGGCAAGAGTGGGAGCAAGTTCACAATCAGGGAAAATTAATTTGTGGTTGACAGAGAACAAAATAGAAGTTGCATGTGTATGATATTGATTGTTAAACAGGGCAAGGAGGAGGGTTCTCTGATGCTGAAGAAATTCTACATCCTAATTTGGAAGATGATTTCATGGGTGAAAGTACAGGTAGAAATGCATTAAAATGTGTATTTAAGATGAGTGCAGTTCACTGCAGGTGAGTGATATCTCAATTGAAAAGGACATTGAAATTAGGAATTACTAACAACATATTTTATTGTTTAACAAAAATATCAGGTATTTGTTTTGTCTTTCAATTCTCACTGGTGTCATGGTGCCTCATATATTTTAGATCATGAATACATGTGTCTTGAATATAAACAAAATATAAAGTATTCTAAAAATATATTTTTCTAAATAAAGACTTTCAATTTCACACATTGCAAAATATATTAAACATTTAGCATGAAAAAATCATTAAATTATATTTGCTAACTAAACTCTTAAGTTCATATTTTTTTCCAGTTTTATAAGTTAGCATGTCCAAGATATTATAAAAGTTCTAAACAAAATAATGTGCCCTCATATTTCAATGTTTTTAATTTAAGTTTAAGGTATTGACAGATGAAATATCCCTACAAGTAGGAGGCTGAAAATCTTATTACAATTCATAACAAGATTTATGCTAGAGAAATGTGTTTAAATATTTTTTCAAGTTTTCTTGCCTTTGATATTCTTTCTATATAGTATTTTCTTTCATATGGTTGCAGAAGATACATAATTTGAAAATTATGCGGTTCTTCACATATGATCAAATTTTCTTTTAATGTTGTTTAACAAATATTTTGCTAAATGCAGAAATTTTGTGACTTTTATTGATGAGTGTCTTTAATATATATATTACTCTCCAGCATTTCCTGTAAGATTTATTGTTGCTTCATTGTAATGAGTAAGTGACATTGATCACATACGTGAGTTATACATGTACATCTTGCTAGTAGCTATAAATCAATATTCTCAAACACTTGCATTAAAACAACACTGCATAATTTATTAAATAGGGAATCCTTTCCTCATTGCTTGTTTTTCTCAGGTTTGTCAAAGATCAGATAGTTGTAGATATGCGGCATTATTTCTGAGGGCTCTGTTCTGTTCCATTGATCTATATCTCTGTTTTGGTACCAGTACCATCCTGTTTTGGTTACTGTAGCCTTGTAGTATAGTTTGAAGTCAGGTAGTGTGATGCCTCCAGCTTTGTTCTTTTGGCTTAGGATTGCCTTGGCGATGCGGGCTCTTTTTTGGTTCCATATGAACTTTAAAGTAGGTTTTTCCAATTCTGTGAAGAAAGTCATTGGTAGCTTGATGGGGATGGCATTGAATCTGTAAGTTACCTTGGGCAGCATGGCCATTTTCATGATATTGATTCTTCCTACCCATGAGCATGGAATGTTCTTCCATTTGTTTGTATCCTCTTTTATTTCCTTGAGCAGTGGTTTGTAGTTCTCCTTGAAGAGGTCCTTCACATCCCTTGTAAGTTGGATTCCTAGGTATTTTATTCTCTTTGAAGCAATTGTGAATGGGAGTTCACTCATGATTTGGGAGAAAATTTTCACAACCTACTCATCTGACAAAGGGCTAATATCCAGAATCTACAATGAACTCAAACAAATTTACAAGAAAAACAACCCCATCAAAAAGTGGGCGAAGGACATGAACAGACACTTCTCAAAAGAAGACATTTATGCAGCCAAAAAACACATGAAAAAATGCTCATCATCACTGGCCATCAGAGAAATGCAAATCAAAACCACAATGAGATACCATCTCACACCAGTTAGAATGGCAATCATTAAAAAGTCAGGAAACAACAGGTGCTGGAGAGGATGTGGAGAAATAGGAACACTTTTATACTGTTAGTGGGACTGTAAACTAGTTCAACCATTGTGGAAGTCAGTGTGGCAATTCCTCAGGGATCTAGAACTAGAAATACCATTTGACCCAGCCATCCCATTACTGGGTATATACCCAAAGGACTATAAATCTTGCTGCTATAAAGACACATGCACACATATGTTTATTGTGGCATTATTCACAATAGCAAAGACTTTGAACCAACCCAAATGTCCAACAATGATAGACTGGATTAAGAAAATGTGGCACATATACACCATGGAATACTATGCAGCCATAAAAAATGATGAGTTCATGTCCTTTGCAGGGACATGGATGAAATTGGAAATCATCATTCTCAGTAAACTATCGCAAGAACAAAAAACCAAACACCGCATATTCTCACTCATAGGTGGGAATTGAACAATGAGATCACATGGACACAGGAAGGGGAATATCACACTCTGGGGACTGTGGTGGGGTGGGGGGAGGGGGGAGGGATAGCATTGGGAGATATACCTAATGCTAGATGACTAGTTAGTGGGTGCAGCGCACCAGCATGGCACATGTATACATATGTAACTAACCTGCACAATGTGCACATGTACCCTAAAACTCAAAGTATAATAAAAAAAAAAAAAGAAAAATCACTTAAAAAAAAAACAACACTGCATAAAAGAAAAAAAACAACAAAAAATCCAAGACCACATGGAAATAAAATGAGTTTTTCACCAGCTGTATCATACTAATAATTTACATGTCTGTTTTATTTATTTATTTATTTATTTATTTTATTTTTTTTTTTTTTTTTGAGACAGCCCAGGTTGAAGTGCAGTGGCACGATTTCAGCTCACTGCAACCTTGGCCTCCACAGGTTCAAGTGATCCTCTTGCCTCAGCCTCCTGAGTAGCTTGGATTACAGATGCATGCCACCACACCTGGCTAATTTTTGTATTTTTGGTAGAGACATGCTTTCACCCTGATGGCCAGGCTGGAAGGCTGAGGCCACCCACCTTGGCCTTCCAAAGTACTCGGATTAGAGGTGAGAGCCACCATGCCCAACCTATATGTCTTTTTTAAAACCACATCTTTATATTTTGAAATATTTGACTTCAAAATAACTAATTCATATTTTAGAAAATTAATCTTTTGGACTATTATATTCATTTTATTTAGAATGTAATTCTGAATACAATTAGAATTAATTAATTCTAATTAAGGTATTAGAAGAATATGAAAAGAATAAAGGGGGAATGTTGCTTTTATGTTCGAGTTATTTTATACACTAAGATATATGGAACATAGAACCGTGCTCTATAATTTTGACCTGCAAGTTGAAACACAAACATTTAATTTTTGATAAATATAGACTATCTATTGTAATTCATTTTCTACAAATTAATGAATGCATTAAAATTACCATTACTTTTAAACTGAAAAAGGGGACATATAAACATAATAAATCAGTGCGAAATTATTTCTGGTTTTTCTTCTTGTCCTGTGACTTTTACTAATTCTTTCTCGTAATGCCAAATAGAATGATGTATCTGTTATCTTCTTAATTTGAAGAATAAAGTATTATTTTAAGTCAAATACTCTACAAATACAATTTTAATAGCATCCCATGTAGCTTACTATTTGAAAAATAATAAAAGTATATTTTAAAACTGGTTTTATCAGAGTGAACTTGTTTGTATTTTTCCTTATCTCTTCTCGGGATTTACTCCAAAATTCTAGAAGGAATGAGAAATAAAAATGTAAATTCCATCTTTGATAAACCTTATGGAAGAACCTGAAACCTTATGTCACAAGTTCATTGGAAGAAATCCCAAATGCAGTGAGAGTCAAACAGGTGTCCAAGAAGATGCAATAAGCTGGCCCAAGGCTACACTGAGCAGCAGCTTACATTTCTTAAAGACAGGGGTACAAGCAAAGGTGCAAACTAATACAACTTTGTTTACATGCACTGAAAGTAGGTCCCTGGGATAGCAGAAGGAGCTTTCTAGGACTTGATTGGGTTTTCAGTCATACAGATGAGCAATATTTATGAGAGCTGCATTTTGTCATGGAGCTCGGGGCAGTGACTGGGATGGGGCAGTGACGGAACTGGAAGCAGTACTTTCGGTTGCCTGAGAAAAGTAAGAGACAAAAGAACTCGCTCACACAACCCTCTCATAAAAATAAATCTCATTATCTTGGAAATGACTCAGGCCCTTCCAAAATAAAGCTGTTGGAAATACTGGCAGAGAAATCCAATTCAATTAAATTTTAAAAACCGCAATGAAATTAATGCAAAATTACTACAAGTAAAATTGCCAAAGAGATAGCTAAAACTATTATTTTTAAAATAATACATAAAAATGATGAAAAAAATTAAAAGGATTTTAATAACAAAAATCGCTTTTATGAAACAAAGGTCAGAATAAAACACAAGAAATCACGTATGGTACTGCAAAACAAGAGCATAATAATACAATGCAACATATAATACTTTTAATAAAAATTTTTAAAAATGCAAATCCATAAAGGAATGACACACTGGAAGCAACATAAAGAAAAGATAAACGATAGAGCAGAAAACCGTTAATAATGGAGTGCCTAGTATTAGGAAAACTGAACAAATTGAAATGAAAATTAGCAATGTATTAGAAAGTATCAATAATAATAGCAATTATTATATGAATAATAATATGAGCTGAATGTTTTACTCTCCACCAAATCTAACCATATAAACTTTAATTGTCAAAACAACCTCTGACGGGTGCAGGGGCTCACATCTGTAATCCCAGCTACTCGGGAGGCTGAGGCAGGAGAATCGCCTGAACCTGGGAGGCGGAGATTGCAGTGAGCTGAGATCGCGCCATTGCAGTCCAACCTGGGCAACAGAGCAGGACTCTGTCCCAAAACAAAAAACAAAAAACAAAAAAAAAAAACTTTTAAGAATATGATCATTCCCATTTTACTGATGAAAAACTCTGAGATACAATGATAATTAAATAATTAAATGATTTTCCCAGGTCTCACAATGTATAAATGGTGGAGCCAAAGTCTGTATTTTAATCATGTCCATTTTAGAGTCTTATGTTTAATCACCACATTCCACTGCTTCACTAGATTTATATATATGTACATTTGTGTGTTTGTGTGTGTGTGTATATATATATATGCGTGTATATGTACGTATATGTGTATATACATACAGTAAATGTACACATGTATGTAGTTGTATGTGTGTGTATATATACATGTATATGTGTATATCTCATGATTTCCGTAGGTAAATCACGTTTTCCTTGATGAACATCACCAAAATAATATAAGAAAAAATGTTTTTAAATATAATTTGAGGAAACCTTCACTAAATAGTAGAGATTTTATTATCCAGAGAATAGAGTCACACTCAATATCAGGAAAAGTAAAAAGATAAATAGTCCCACACAGTAAGACACAGCCTAATAAATGTACTAGGCTTTAAATATAAAAGAAAATAAAAACTATTGTACAAACACACAAGAAGATGAACTCACAGAGGAAAATGAAAATGGTTTCAGCATTGTCTCTAGGGATGTTCACTGTTAAAAGACAGTTGGACGATGCCTGCAGGGTGCTCCGGGAAAGAAAAAGAAAACATGGCTCAATGACTTTATACAAAACCCAAATACATTCAAATATAAAGGTACAAGATCTTTATGAATTTACAATAACTCAGGGAATATATTGCTGACATATTGCTCATAAGCTTTTATTTAACACACTATTTGAGGTTGAACTTCAGACAACCCTGAGATGATGCTGAAACTATGGCGAGAGCAATGTGTGGCTACGAGTAAGTTGATATTGAGCTTAGGTTTACAAATTACCGTGTGACTACTATAAACCTTTAAACTGGAAAATATATAAATAGAGAGAGATGTCAGGAAAGGAGAAGAAAAATTTGGTAGGTAATGTTATTTCCTCTTTTTTCGCACACATAAAAATTATTTAAAGCTAATAAAATAGCACATATATGGGTAATTATTTTTCAGCAAATTATTTTTCAGTAAACTCTAGCAGAAGTGTAAAATAAACTCTGATACCCAAAAGTAAAATGATACTTATAAATACGTGAAAGTAAATAGAATGAGGATACGGAGAAAACATTAGAAAATATTTATTTTTTATTATTACACCTAGTAGAAAATCAGTGGACACTGCCTAAATAGTTGGCTAAATATATTCCATAACATTATAGATAAAGAGGAAGATGAAATAAAATAGTAACCTCTCAAATAGTGACAGGAAACTGACACAAAATATAACAAACATGATATAATGAAAGGAAAAATGCTATAAAACAAAAAATAAAATGGGATAGACATGATCAAATATTCTGCTATATCATATCACATATTAAAACAAAAAGATCATTATGTGGTTCATAAAGCAAAATAGATACAAAGCACAAGAAAAAAGAACAAACTCAATATATTAGTAAACTCTAATGTACCTTTATCAGTCTATAATTAAACAAGAGGAACAAAGTTCCTATACCTAATAATATAGTTAATAAGGCACATATAATTCATTTATTTAATGATGCCCATATTTTGAAGGTTACTCTAGACATATAAAACACATTCTTTTTTCCAAGTACTCATGGAATATTTTAAAGAAAAAATATAAAATCTAATTATAGCCAGCATAAATAGAACAGAAAACATAGTATAAGAAATTATAATACTAAAATTAATCTAAAAAAATGACAACAGTTAATAATTACCTATTTGGGTGGGAGAAACAATCTTTCCCTCTTAAGCTTTTATTAAAGTGAAAATCAATTTCAAGGTTTATATGCAGGCAAATAATTACAATGAAAATTCCTTATATCACAATCTAGGTCAGTGAACTAAAACAGTTCCTAGAGAAAGATGCTAGTAGAAAATAATTGTGTTAGGTTAAATGAAAGAATGAAAATAAAATCATTGAACAACCAATATATAAAATAATTTTAAAACCACAAAATAAATCAAAGAGTGATAAAATACAATAAAAGTAACAAAAATTGAGTAATTCAAAACCATGAAATTACTGTAGTAATGAATAAAACCAAGAATCCTTCTTTACATAACAAAATAGGAAAACATATAAAGTGTTGATGAAATTAAATCAAGATAGAAAAAAAGAAAATTGTATACAATAAAAAGGTAGTTAAGTGGAAAGTTGCCACAGATATAGAAAAAATTATAAAAAAGGTTTGAAAGTTCTTTGTTCCACTTTATGACGTAAATTAGTGAACATGGATAAAATAGATGATTTCATAAAAATATAAACTTCGAAACTAAATCAGAATATAGGAAGTTGAAACTGAAAAAATAAATGACCGTATTGAGTAAATAAAATTATCTAAGAGATTCTCTCTTCAAGAAAGAACCAGGTTAGAATTTTTTCACAAGAACATCTCACAGAGACTTTAAGTGACAAATTCACTCTATGCCATTTAGCATTATCCAATACTTGGGAAAAAAAAAAGGGATTAAATCATTTAGGTATTTGATGGAGCAAGTTTTATATCATATCTAACATATAAGTACTGTGCCCTAACCAACTGGGTCACTGGAGCTCCCCAAATCTTACATAGGATGTCAACACAAAAGTAACATATTTGCATATCAATGAAGAAATTCCTAAATACAATTCTAACAAAAAAAATTCATCACATTAAAACAATAATAAAACTACATGACACAATGACGTTTAGTCTAAAAGTGCAATGATCCCAGAATTAGTATTAGGCTATCAATCTTATACCATATCTATTTATTTTAATTTTTAAATTAAAATATCTGAAAAAATTCTGTGAAGTCATTTATAACAATCAATAAAACTTTCGACTGAAACTCTCAATAAACAAGAATGAATGAATAGTTTTTTTACATGATAAAATACATCCACTGTATCACAAAATACAACATTGAAGTTAGTAAGAAAACTATGGAAGAATTGCTACTGAAATAATTTTTAGAAATCAATAATAATATTTAATAGTACTAGGCAAAAAAGAGCAAACAAAGTTATAGAAGTAGGGCACAGCACAATATTGTTATTTAAAGATGAAATAGTTTTTTACCTGATAAATCTAAGAGTATACATTTGTAGAAATCAAACAAGACTCAATCGGCATATAAAATGTAGAAAAAGTTATTCCATGTTAGGAATAACAAAGATTTAGAATGCTTGTTAATACATTTAACATGAAGTTGTCCATTTCTATATAAAGAAAGATAGGATACAAAAAGAACATTCCAAAAGATCAAAAAGTTCTTCATTAGGAAGACTCTACAAGATAAAAATAGTGATTCTCACTACAGTAATTTATCAATTTAAAATTATTCAAATGCAACTACTATTTTTAAAAGACTACGAAGATTTCATAGGAAAATAAATAACCAAAAATTCAGGGAACTCCTAAAAATTACATCTGATCTTTATTTTTATCAGATACTAAAATATGAAAGTCTAGTCATTAAATAGCTTGATATGGCATATACACAGGTCAATGGTAAGAATTGAACAATCTTTTAAAAGAAAAAAACTTTGCAAAGTTTAGAAACTATATAGATGTTTATTATTAGAACTATTTAAATAAATTGTATACCTATAAACTATACAACTCTATGTATCCATAAGTTTAACACAAATACACACACACACACACACACACACACACACACACACATAGAGAGAGAGAAAGAGAGAGAGAGAGAAACAGTTTATGTGAGCATTTCTGGAAGTAAACCCACTAATTTAGTAAGAACAATTGCATCTGGGAACAGGAACTTGTGTGTCTCTAACTAAAGATAAAAACTTAATTTTTTAACATATCAGTTTACACATTTTTAATTACGTATAATTCTTGATAACTTATTCCAGAAAAGCTAAATTAGAATGTTTAAAGTAGGCTACTTTTAACATTATTTCAATGTATTCAGTCAAAAGACAACCCAGGGACTTTGGAAACCTGCCCACCTTCACTATAGGACTAGTGTTTTTGGTTTTTGGATAAACAGAAATTTGACCCTCCTGGCCTTAAAACTTTAAACTTGCATTCGTCTTATCTGAGTTCCTTGCTCAGGAAACCGACCTTCAGGTCTCACTGATAGTATCAAGGAACTGAAACTTACCAGATCATTTCATCTGGACAATAAGATGTCAGATCCCTCATCTGTCATGTTTGCCTAATCGACCACTTGATGCCTGTTGACCAACTCCTATTCCTTACCCCTCCCTAATTCCTATTTTCTCACATGTAGTTATATTTCTCCTTGCCTTATAAACCCCTAATTTTAGTTGGTTGGGGAGATACATTTGAGACTGATCTCCCATATTCTTGGCTGCAGCACCCTGTTAAAGCACCCCATTAAATTCTGCTTCCATGGCGATGCTCATTCTGCACCATCCTATTAAATTCTCTTTCCCTGGCAATGCTCATTGTCCTAATATTGGTTTTCTGTGGGGCAAGCAAGAGGAACTAGACTGAATGCCTAGCATTTCAGTAACACATTGAGTCCCTGAGTGATAGCTTTGGCTGTATCCCCACCCAAATCTCAACTTGAGTTGTATCTCCCAGAATTCCCACATATTGTGGGAGGGACCAAGGGGGAGGTAATTGAATCATATGGGCCAGTCTTTCCCATGCTTTTCTCCTGATATTAAATAAGTCTCACAAGATCTGATGGGTTTATCAGGGGATTCTGCTTTTAATTCTTCCTTGTTTTCTCTTGCTGCAGCCATGTAAGAAGTGTCTTTCACCTCCCGCCGTGATTCTGAGGCCTCCCCAGCCATGTGGAATTGTAAGTCCGATTAAAACTCCTTTTCTCCCAGTTTTGGGTATGCCTTTATCAGCAGTGTGAGAATGCACTAATACAGTAAATTAGTACCAGTAGAGTGGAAAGTTACTAAAACGATGCATGAAAATGTGAAAGAGACTTTGGAACTGGGTAACAGGCAGAGGTTGGAACAGTTTGGAGGGCTCAGAAGAAGGCACAAAAATGTGGGAAAGTTTGGAACTTCCTAGAGACTTGTTGAAGGGCTTTGGACAAAATACCGATAGTGATATGGACAATAAGGTCCAGGCTGAGGCGGTCTCAGATGGCGAGGAGGAACTTTTTAGGAACTGCAGCAAAGGTGAGTCTTGTTATGTTTTAGCAAACAGACTGGTGGCATTTTGCCTCTGCCCTAGAGATTTGTGGAACTTTGAACTTTAGAGAGATGATTTAGGGTATCTGGCAGAAAAAAAATTCTAAGCAGCAAAGCATTCAAGAGGTGACTTGGGTGCCGTTAAAAGCATTCTGTTTTAAAAGGGAAACAGTATGAAAGTTCAGAAAATTTGCAGCCTGACAATGTGATAGAAAATAATATCCCATTTTTTTGAGGGGAAATTCAAGCCAGCTGCAGAAATTTGCATAAGTAGCAAGGAGTCTATTATTAATCCCCAAGACCATGGGGGGAAATGTCTCCAAGCCACGCCAGAGACCTTCACAACAGCCCCTCCTATCACAGGCCTGGAGGCCCAGGCAGATAAAGCGGTTTCCTGGGCCAGGCCCAAGGTCCTCATGCTGTGTGCAGCCTAGGAACTTGGTGCCCTGTGTCCCAGCTGCTCCAGCCATGGCTGAGAGGGGCCAATGTACAGCTTAGGCTGTGGCTTCACGATGCACAGCTCAGGCTGTGTGAAAGTCCCAAGCCTTGGCAGCTTCCAGGTAGTGTTGAGCCTGTGATTGCACAAGAGTCAAGAATTGAGGTTTGTGAAGCTCCACCTAGATTTCAGAAGATGTATGGAGATACCTGGATGTCCAGGCAAAAGTTTGCTGTGGGAGTGGGGCCTTCACACAGAACCTCTGCTAGGGCAGTGTGGAAGAGAAAAGTGGGGTTGGAGCCCCCATACAGAGTCCCTGCTGGGGCACTGCCTAGTGGAGCTGTGGGAAGAGGGCCACCATCCTCCAGACCCCAGAATTGTAGATCCACCAGCAGCTTATACTGTGCATGTGGAAAAGCCACAGGAACTCAATGCCAGACCATGAAAACAGCCAGGAGGGAGACTGTACCCTACAAAACAACAGGGGCAGAGCTCCCCAAGACCATGGGAACCCACTTTGTGCATCAGTGTGACCTGGATGTAAGACCTGGATTCAAAGGAGATCATCTTGGAGCTTTAAATTGACTGCCCTGCTGGATTTTGGACTTGCATGGGCCCTGTAACCCCTTTGTTTTGGCCAATTTCTCCAATTTGTAATGGCTGTATTTACCCAATACCTGTACCCCCATTGTATATAGGAAGTAACTAGCTTGCTTTTGATCTTACAGGCTCATAGGTGGAAGGGAATTGCCTTGTCTCTGATGAGGCTTTGGACTGTGGACTTTTGGGTTAATGCTGAAATGAGTTAAGACTTTGGGGGACTGTTGGGAAGGAATGATTGATTTTGAAATGTGAGGACATGAAATTTGGAGGGGCCAGGGGCTGAATGATATGGTTTTGCTGTGCCCCAACCCAAATCTCAACTTGAATTGTATTTTCAGAATTCCCATGTTTTGGGGAAGGGACTCAGGGGGAGGTAATTGAATCATGGGGGCCAATCTTTCCTGTGCTATTCTTGTGATAGTAAATAAGTCACAGAAGATCTGATGGGTTTCCGCTTTTGCTTCTTCCTCATTTTCTCTTGCTGCCACCATGTAAGAAGTGCCTGTTGCTTCCCACCATGATTCTGAGGCCTCACTACCTATGTGGAACTGTAAGTCCAATTAAACCTCTTTTTATTCCCAGTCTTGGGTATGGCTTTATCAGCAGCATGAAAATGAAATAATACAGTGAGGAAACATCTCTGTCTCCTTCCAGGCCAAGTTTAGTGTTCTTTTTCTTATGCTTCCATAGTGCAACTTGACACATTTAAATAATCTAAAATTATAGCACTGAGTTTTTATGAAAAGATAAATTGTATATTGAGTACAATTGTCATTACCAACAACATATATATAAGTGATGCTTTCAGTATTTAAGATTCAAACCTGCGGATCACGAGGTCAGGAGATCGAGACCATCCTGGCTAACACAGTGAAACCCTGTCTCTACTAAAAATACAAAAAATCAGCCATGCATGGTGGTGGGCGCCTATAGTCCCAGCTACTCAGGAGGCTGTGGCAGGAGAATGGCATGAACCCGAGAGGTGGAGGTTGCAGTGAGCTGAGATGGCACCACTGCACTCCAGCATGGGCAACAGAGCAAGACTCCGTCTCAAAAAAAAAAAAAAGATTCAAAGCCTGTCATTTTACATATAGGAAAAGAAGATATAACAATGAATGCTTTTTATTTGTTTAATATTTTTCTTTGATTAAACTGAACTCCTTGAGAGCAGGAACTGTGTCTTAATCACCATTATATCTCAGATATTAACCGAGAATTTGAATTAGCATTTCCACCTAATAACTATTACATGAATAAAAGTATTGTAAAAGTATGTTTATTTTCTTATTTATAACAATATTCCTAATGATAGCTATATAATTCTAAATTAAGAAACATGGTACTTGCAAAATAACAAAGGGGAAGATAAAACATACTAATATAAAAGATGATTTAGAGCCACAGCAATGAATAAGAAAATTATCAAAATTTTAAAATATTGTTACTAAATATCAAAATACTTACTAGAACTAGAGGATAAAATATTATTTGGAATTATACTGAGAAGAAAATTCTATTCTCTATTCTTAAACATAACTTAATATAGAAGTCTTCCATATATAATCCTCCTATTCATGAAGATAGACGGTATAAGTTTTGTCACATCAGTAATGATCTACTGGCGAATTTCTCTAAGTCTACAACCCATGAGAATTATTAAACCACTTTTTTCTTTTTGGTCTATATCTCTGCCAAGACAATCTGCATGCAAAACCCAATGATTTTAAGGGAAGTTTCCACTTGGTGAACTTTGTAGTAAATGAGACAGATGATATAACCTCAGAACACAAGGTAGAAAGTGTGACTTCAGGGAATGTGAGTGGCTTCAGGAATTGAAGGATGTAGATTTGAGAAGTCAAAAAAAAAGACATATTTTGCTCTCATCCTAGCTGACACTGACATTTTTCCATGGATATTCATCTTGCTCATCATATTATTATTTATATTATTAAGTATATCATAGCACTCACATAAGGATAAAATCAGAAGTGCTTCTGTAAGCCCCCTCTATGGTATTTTCTATTCATGTTATAATTAATTGCATTTTGAAAGATAAATCAAATTTATTAACTGAAGTAAAAAAAAATCTATCTTATTTCTAAATGAAATTAGATGTTATTGAGATAAAATAAAATACAGCATCTACAAGAGTGAGACTTTTGGTGGTGGTGGAAGCAATTTTCAAGTAGTTTCTTTTTTTAATGCTGGCTTGAGATTGATTATTAATAAAGTGGACATTTCAAAATAAACTATTTTGGCATTTACTCATTGATTTCATATAATATAAATGAATTTCATATTTTAATATATTGTTAAAATGGTTATTTGACTTGGATTAACAAAAAGTAATAAAAAGCTTGTTGGCTTTAAGTGTCTACATGGGCTTATACAACATTTAACTGTTTACTCTGTACTGAAGAGATGTAAACTTTAAGATCATCTTTTTTTTTTGATGATGAAAACAAAATCTCAGGTTCACATTGCTTGAATTGTAATTTTCAGTGAAATAAACACCTATTGTATATTTATGAAAAAACACACAAAGTTCTGTGTTATTCAGACTTATTAAAAAATGAATTTTCATTTTTGTTTGTTATATCTTTACATATTTTTCCCCCACTGAATTGGAAAATGGTACAGGCACATCAGTGCAAATGACTTAATTGCCCATTACATGTTGAAGGTAAAATATTGAATGATGGAAGATTTACGAGTTCTCCATGGTTACTATCCAAACTAACAGATATTAATTATCTGTTCATGATGACTATCAGCTCAGTGAATCTATTCAGATAGCAACAGAAGTTCTTTTGTTTGATTGTTTGTTTGTTTTAGTCAGTTTATTAAAACTTCTACAAATGTCACTATGCCGAACCTCAGTGTATTAGTTCGTTTTCACATTGCTGATAAAGACATACCCAAGACTGGGAATAAAAAGAGGTTCAATTGTACTTAACAATTCTACATGGGTGGTGAGGCCTCAGAATCATGGTGGGAGGCAAAAGGCACTTCTTACATGGTGGCAGCAAGAGAAAATGTGGAAGATGCAAAAGCGGAAACGCCTGATAAAACCGTCAGATCTTGTGAGACTTATTCACTATCATGAGAATAGCACGAGAAAGACCAGCCCCCATGATTCAATTACTTCCCCCTGGTTCCCTCCCACAACACGTGGGAATTCTGGGAGATACAGTTCGAGATTTGAAGGGGGAAACAGCAGAACCGTATCATTCATAAATGTTAGATATTAATACAGATTGTATTTTCTTTCTTTATCTTTTCCAATATACTCAACTTCTCTGATGAAATTAAATGCAATTATAGTAGCCTTTGTTATTTGTAAAATAAAATACTAGAATTGTTACTTATAAAATATACTGATTAGTTAGGCTGTAATTAATTGAGATTTTCCTATTATGCACGTTTCCAGACAATAAGATGCATCTATCTATAGCACTAAACAAACATTAAATGAAATGTCTTATTTATGTTTGACATAAATAGCACAAAAAATGTGACCTGCTATGATAAAAGATAAAATGTAATTTAAGATAACTGAAAAGACTGAAACAATGGATTTGGATATTATGGGGTTTTAAATTTATTTTTACATACAGACTTCATTCACATTTGCTAATTTTTCTTATATGTTTTAACTTGCAATCACAAAATTACTTTTGTTGTAATTTCTAACTTCCTTTTCTGTATCTTGGTATTTAAAACATAGCACCATTTCTACAAAGAAAATAAAGCCTAGATGAAAAATAAATGTCCCCATTTACTTCAGAGAAAACCCAGATATCTCCTTTGTGACCTAGAATTGAACCCCAGTGGTGGTGAGCAAGTTGGTGAGCAAAGTGTGTTGTACATGTGTTAAATGAATGAGTGTCTACTTGACACGCATAATTCTCTGACTCTGTTATTTATGCACAGAGTGCTAACATGAAACAGATTTTCAGAATAAAAAGGGCAAAGAGTAACAGAGCTGTCTTTAGTTAAAATTTTGTTTTACTATCTAATGAACAAAGGTAATTTGAGGGTAGACCAACCCAAATGTTAAATAAAAAATATCGATTAAAAACATGGCTTTACTGATCTGCCATTTTCATTTTTTAAACATCTTCTATTTTTAAGTATGAAATCATGACTTAGGCCTTGTAATTACAAATACTCAGAACATCACCCACAGATGTGGTGTTGGTCATAACAGGTGTACTCAATCTCTAATTTATCTTTACATACAAATTTAGTGTTGTCATAATTTCAAATTATTTAAACTCACTAAATTTTAAATGGGTATCTAAAAGTAGAAAACTTAATTAAGGGCAAAAGAAAGTATTCCAATAATTACCCATATTGAGTAGCATCTGGAATTTAAGGGAAAGAGAGAAATTTGTCACTGAGAGAGTTAGAAATTATTTCAAGATTTGTAGATAGTGTAATTATCTCACTTTCTTCATGATTTTAAGCTATATGAGACGATCTACAGGAAACTATGTCATGTACATGGGATGTGTCCTGTTTCTACTTCTAAACCTACCTCATGCTATGCCATTGGGGATAGTATTTTTCTTCTGCTTAGTTAACAAATTAGTAAGGTTAAAATCAATGTTTCAAAATAATCTGAGTGAATTTATGGCAGAAGCCATATTCCAAACGTTTTTAAGTAATCTCTCAGCACATTTAAAGTAATCGTTAAGTCATCCATTGTCAAGAATTGTCTATTGTGAATCCAAATTGGATAAATCAGTAAGTCAATAGGCATTTATAGGTGGGGTGTAGTTAGGATAACAGGGGCATGGGTTCAGTGCACAGTCAGTTTACACAAGCAAAATATATGCAATTAAAAAATTATTTATTTATTGAGAATATGGAGCCACATATTCATATTTTTTGCCACATTTTCAATTAGTCTGAAATATTAAAACATCTCCCAGAATAATTAATTTATCTACAGGATGATTACATTTTCTTGGCTTTCATAAATTTCATAATAATTGTTGTTGAAATAGTATATCTCTGTAACTAACCCAAAGCCAACTGTAATGAAAAACAAATATCTGATTTTATAGCAAGGAGCATAATTGAGAAAATTAGACCTGGTTTGATCAGTTTATTAAAAATTTCAGATATATAAAATTAATGTTAGAGAACACTTTATAACTAGAAAATTAGCATTATTTAATCCTGTGGCTAATATGAGTTTTATACATATCAGGTCAGGTGGAGTGTTCCATTTCAAAGCAATAGAAATTGTAACTGTAAATGGCTTAGAATTGAGGCTATTCATTATCTCACAAAAGAGTAAGTCTTGAGCTTGGACAATTTAAACATTACTAATGCTCAGTGACATGATACAAGATAGGTTCCTTCTATCTTTTGCTATGCCATCCTCATCACATTAATTTGTGTTCTTCAGCTAACTCTGTTTTCAGATAAACATTACCCATTGTTTCAGGATGGCTGCGTAGGTGTTAGGTGTTACAGATGACAATATCCAGAGGCAGAAAAGACAATCTCCGCTTTCTATATACCTTCTTTTAAAAACAACAAACACTATCTGACAACGCCATCCTCCACTCTCATGCCAGATATGGCCTAACATTTCCTTGGCCAAAATTGTGGCACATGTTTACTTCTAAATGAATTACTGGCCATGGGCATGGAGTTACCACCATTGGTTATGATCTACAAGATTCCTCAACAGAAGGTGGAAAAGAGCCCAACCTCTTGAAGCACATAAACACCAGAACAAACTCAGGTATCATGGCAAGGAAGGATGAGTGGCTATGCCTCATGGAAAAAGTGTCTGCTCTATCATTATTCATTCAATAATCTGGAATTGAGTACACACTGTAACACACTAGAGTAAGTGATTCAGAGAATAAAGCAGACACATTATAGTTGATTAATTCTTAAAAATTAGGTTGAGAAAATATAAGCCTAAAATATATAAAGGTTTCAATGGACCAAGTACTTTGTAAAGTACTTAATATATTAGCTCATTTGATCCTCAAATAACCCTATGAGATTGGTGTTATTATTAACATCCTTGTTTTATGGGTAAAAGTCTAAAACACATAAAGATAAAATAACTTGCCCAAGAATAGAAAGAAAATAGTTAAAAGAGTGGGATTCAAACCCAAGTTGGCTACAGATCCTGTGACCTTAATAACATTATTTCATTGCTTAAAATGTATTGCACTAACATGCCAGTTTAGGGTTCTACATGTGAAATTTCTGGCTAAAGTATTTGACTTTTAGTAAGTGATAGGAAGCCATTATTTTTTCTTTACTTTCCCCCTCCCTTCCTCCTTTCCTTGTTTCCTTCCTCTCCTCTCTCTCTTTCTCCTTCACACCCCCTCCTCCCACAGATTAAAATATAAGAACAGCATGGCTGGTTTTTCTGTTCAAGCAATTATAAAGCTGAATTCAGGGTGTCCCACTGTGCTGAGTTTTCATCTGGAGGCTCTAGGGGAAAATCTACTTTCAAGTTCATTCAGGTTATAGGAAGAATTTAGCTTCTTCTGGTTGTAGAGCTATCTCCATTATCTTGATGGTTGTTGCTGGGACCACTCAGCACTGAAAGGCTGCCTTCATTCCTTGTCATGCTGTTACCCTCCATATTCAAAGTCAGATACAAAGACTCTTCCCTGCTTTGAATCCCTCTCATGCCCATATCTCTGACTTTCTCTGTCTCTGACCTCTAGACTCGGATTTAAAGTTTTTGGTGTTATTAGGTTAGGCTTATCTGGGTAATCTCTTTTTGTTAATGTCAAATACACCATAAAATATAACTGAGTCATGGAGTAAAATTCCTCATATATTCACAGTCCCAGCGATTATGCAAGATGTGCAGACAGGAAAGTGGAGATGTTGGTCACAGTTAAAATTCTGCCTGCCATAAGAAGTGACAATGTTGAGTTTGGTTTAGTGCATACTGGATTTGAGATACCTCATCATTCGTGCAGAGTTATCATACCCATTTTTAAATTCATATGTTTGACCTGGAGAGAAAAGACTAATACTAAGTGTATAATTTTAGATTCCTCTCAAAATTATGATGATGAAATCACAGAAGCTTATCATAAAGAGTAAAAAGACAAAGAGAGATACACACTTTGGGTGAACACCTTTAGGAATGGTGGAAAACACACCAGGAAAAGAGAAAGCTGGGAGACAGAAAAGAAAGGAAAGTAGAAAAAGAGCCTAAATACATAATATTGCATAAATAAACACAGAAACAAAATTTTTAATAAGTGGGTGACATTATTGAACGCAGAGAGAAAATCTTTGTTATTAGCCATTGGAAAGACACTGTTGACTTTGAAGATAGAAATATTTTTCAGATTAGGGAGGGGGTAGAAAACCGCTTGCAAATGGTTAAGTAGTGGTGAGAAAAATCATCAGCAACTATCAATTAATTTTGTGAAATGATTAGTAGCCTAAGGAAAGAGCTCTAAATCCTGGCTTGATTCCTTTGTGAAAATATTACTCCCTTGTGTAATATATTAATGTAAAAAAGAAATAAAGAAGGAAAAATTGTGGGAGAAGAGAGGTGGTTGACAGGATAAGTCAAAGCCATATGCCGAATGAAATATTTCCTTGGAGAAATTTTGGCATAGAAGATAAAGCATTTGTTTGATCGTATTATCCTTCGAATGTCTACAAAGAGCAACAGAAAGAGGGATAAATGGCATATGTACCTTCTTGCCAGATAATTTTTTTTCTTTGTTTCTTCTGTTCCCTTAAGTGAAGGCAATTCCTGGTAAACAATTACCACATGAACTTGAAATGATAGGTGCTTTTATAAAAGTGAGTGTGTGTGTTGGGGGAGTGTGAGTGCATGGGGGTTGCAGAGGGAACATGCTAGCTCTGCTAAAATCTCCATTGTCTGTCTTCCAGACATTAATGCATTAGTCATTCAACTCACTGTATGAACAGATCACCTCTGTGATAGAAGAGGAACCCCTAAAACTTTCAATTCTGTCTCAAAGGAATGTTTCAGGCCAATGGAAGAGAAATATTTTTAGAATTTATTCATTTCCATTCCTCTTTGGCAGGCATTGAAGCAGCTTGACAGAGGCAGATATTAAAAATTCAAATTAAGTAAAAATATCTATTTTAATATCTTCTTAATTTTAGGACAAAGAGGTCACCAGTGACAATGCTGCACTAAGAGAAGCATTGTACTAAATAATCAGTAAGTCAACAACATGCATACTTTTTCAAACTCTAAGCAAGCATAGAAGTTATATTCAGTAGAGCAGTAAATAGCAGAAATATACTTCTCAACATCCAAGCCCAGGCCACTTCCATCACCGTATTTTTATTTTTCATAAAATTTTTATTCTTGCTTCTAAAGAAATTAAAGATGTGTTTTTGGTGTATTTTCTCTTTATTCACTGTATGTTTAGCACAATGAATGTTTTAATGATCATTGTTCTTATAACTGCATCTTCAGGATATCTGAAAATAACTGGACTTCATTTAAAAACTTTGTATCTTTGAGGGATTTCTATGCCATTTAATTTATTTTAATTTGTACATTTTTGTGCCATGCAAATCACTATTTAAGAGTAAAGATTATGAAAAATGCATAGAGTCCTATAAACAGAGATAGTGGTAACAGCTGCAACACAAAAGAGCAAGAGACTGTTTTTGTATGCCATTCATAATTTCAAAAGTCACTGTGAGCTGTTGAGTGAACATGGGAAATAATCCATATTTTACTGCAAAAATAAAATAACATGATTGGAAATATATTCTAAGAGTCAGCTTTTTCACCACTTACTAAAACTGAAAAATGTGTAACTTTAAAAAAGTTCTTGCATACATGTTATATTTAATGAATTCCAGATGATAATGCCAGTAAGACTTGGTACTGTTTTAAAACTCATTAAAAAATAAGCTAACAAAGAGCTAATATTCAGAAAATCAGGTGTTGTCTAGTGTCATTTAAACTCTCATCTTCTAGAGTCTATGAATTGCTCCTAAAATTACAATCTGTTGATAAACCGTGTTTTCTGGGTATTGATGGAAGTGTCAGGAATTTATGGGGTCCAGGATGCACATTCATTGGCTGTAATAACAGCTTTCCTTCATTCATCAAAGAAACATGAGTGCCCAGTGTGGAAAATGTTTTTTTCCCTCAGAATATTACTCTGAATTGAAGATCATTAAATGGGAGCTAGGAATTGAACATAGAGTGTGTAGGTATATCTTGTATTTTTACATTTTTTTAAAAAAATCAAAGTCAGGTAAAATTTAAGTACCCCCCTTCTTTTCAAAAAAGGACATTATGTTATTTTTTTAAGGTCAACAGAAAGGATCATGGTTTAAAGTCCAGCATACACATATGCCCAAAGGTTAGTGTCATCTCTTTCCCAGTCACCAAATCCATCTAACTCTATTAAGTCCTTCAAAAATAAACACAAGCCAAGGGTTTTTATCTTGGACCTTGCTTCTCTCACTTTTGCTAATATATTTAACACATGGTATTTACAAAAAAAATTTTATGTGGACATAGATATCACTACATAGTCTTTATCTCTGTGATGGTACTTCCTCAATCACATGAAATTTCACTCTTTACTATGTCATGAGGTTTAGTTCTGTTTAACTGGGTTCATCCATTAGGGACCAGGGAAGAAAATAGAAGCCATTCTGGACATTCTAAGCAGCAAGATATTTGACTCAAGGAATTAAACCGCTTAGGAAGTCATTATAATTGCTAAAAAAAAAAATAGGCTCCTGGAATGCATGACTTCCTTGAATATCTCCATAAATAATACAGCATTGAACCACTATAGCAGTTACTCTTCTGAGGCTATACTGAGAGCAAGAAACAACCACTATCATTCTGTAAGTATCTATTATACTTAGGAAGCTGGGGAGGGGACATTAGAATACCACTGTGGGGAAGCCCCATAAATCTATACTGCTAGCTTGCTGTGATAGTCAAGAGCCACAGGAAGCTAAGTGTAACCTCATTTTTGCCTTCCAAAATTTCATCAAATATATCCAATGAGCAAAACGCATTTTACATTTAGAACCAGGAAAGGACTCTGGGAAATTTTGTGTTTTAGCTTTTTAACCTCTGCAAGTAGGAGGAAATGGTAGTTAAAAGTGGCAATCCTAAGTACCCAGCTCTCATCTGAATATAATAGAGTAACTCACCTCAACTGACAGCAAACCAGTTAGGTGTATCAGTAGCCAAAATCTACAAGTCTAGTCATCATCTGTCATGGTAGCACTCACAAAACAGACTAAGCTTAATCACATCAGAAGATTAAGTGGCAGAATTTCTCATGCTCTTATATTTGATTAAATAATAAAACAATATTTAAGGATTAAAAATGTCTTAATTTCTTCACAGTAAGTCAGATACAATCCTCAAGACCCTTTGTCTAATGTTATTTTTGTTATAATAATGATGTTGTGGTTTTCATGGCCTCAGAGAAAACTTGTCCATTCTCATCTGCATAAACCCACAGCAACAACCATTGCCAAATATTTCTATTGCATGTCCTTATTGTCAAATACTAATACCTAAACTTGGCACTGTTGGGTTAATCATGCCATTTTGATTCAGTTTTATTTTGTCTTTCAAATGATTAATAGCACAAAACTGTACACATTAAGCCACGGACTAAAAATAGGTTATTACTGTACCCTCTTGGCCTTTCGATCAAAAGCAAATAGTGACAGCTCCTTTCAGAATAAGGAGCCCAGGATCTTTCTGCTGGGCTATTATGGAAAAGTTGGCCAGATTTAGAGTGCAATTACCATTAGAGAAATAGATACATTGCCAATATTGGTAGGGACTTTAAGTATTTCTTATCCTGTGTTTCTCAGAAGGTAGTGCCTGAGACAAAGGATTATGTATGACTAGTTTATTTGAGAGAGAAATCCCAGAGACCAAGAGTGAAGGATGAGACAAGGAAATCAGAAATGTGGAGAGACTCAATGCTATCAAATTGACCATTGCTATGAAAACAAGGTACTTGATTTCTTAAGACCATATAAGAAACCTCACGAACGCTTACTTGGCAGAAAAAAAAGGAATAATACTTATTTATCAGTTTCTATCCTTATGTTAAAATAATGCTCCATGAGATATTAATTTCCTCACACTCTCTATTTGCATATTTTGAGTGCTTGGACAGAGCAGCCTTGGGACAGACTTATACAGAGTGGGCTCGAGATTTGGTGCTGTCTTTATAGAAATATATTTTATATTTCAAAGGATAACAGGTTATTTATAATAACAGACTATTTCATCATTTCATCAGACCAGTTGCTTTGGAGTGACAGAGTGTACTTTAGACCAGCAGATCCCATAGTTTCATGCCTATTATTGCATCTCTATTGACATAAAATGGGAGAGTTGATATGAGACAATATTGTGCTATATACTATGCTGGTAAAGCAGGCATATAGATGATGATGCTTGTAGATGCACTGTACACAGAGAAATAGAACCCATATCTGGCTTTTGTGTTATTTATATTAAGAATGAATTACTTATCTTTCTAGGATGGAAGGGATATGATGGTCATCCACACACTGCCAAGTGGTTGGTTTTTGGGAGGAACGGTGCCATATTGAGTCTTAGCATCGAGAGCTGTCTAATGGAATAATAACCCCCATTCCCTATAGATGTGCTGGAAAATGTGCCAACTACATTCCCCTGGCTGTCCCATGTTGCAGTATCAGTGAAGACCAACGGGAAGAAGTGAGGGGACTGAGGCTGAAGTCTGAGTCAAGGCACATCCATGTTATACCTACGTGAATGAAGACTTCTGGGACTTGTCAATAAAGAAATGTCTAAAATAAGAGTTCAGACAAAGAGAATTTGAAGTGGGTCCAGGAGGTTTCCTATAGATATACAAATTTCATATTTCAATTTCCTGCTAAGGTAAGCATTGCAGTATCCCTAGTAGTTACAGCATTCAGCCTTTGCTGAAATGTTTTAATTAAAGCAATCAGTTTTTTTGTGTGTTTCCCATAATTATATTATCTGAAAGCTATCCTAGAAGGCTTTTTCATGAAGACCAGAAATTTGGATGCTGTACTCAAAAGAGGGATTACCAAAAATGCTTAGAGGATGGACCATTCAATGAGCCACCATAAGGAAAAGGAAGATACCATTTAAAATTCCAGAGTCCGAGGAATAGCAACTATGCTTTCCAACAAAACACTCGGTCACTAGTACTTGACAGCAAAAGGCGGGAAATGGGAGAATGCCTGAAGATGGAGATAAAATTCTGTGAGGAAAGAAGAGACTTTAGGAAGGAAGAACAGGGAGAGGCATACATGGCCCCTAGTTGAAAAAGGGCCCAAATAGCATTCGTTTTCACATCAGGAGTACAGGTTCTGTTGTGTTTTTGGAGTCCAATGCATCATATGTAAGGTAGGGCTGGCAGCTGTAACAGAGCATCTGCAGATGCTGTGTGCTTGAAATGGGTGGTCGTTACAATCGCTTCTCAAGATTACTCACATCATACTCCATCTGCTTCTGGCATCTTAGTTGACAGAATGTATCAGATGCATTTAACAAAGCAAGTGCAAAAAAATGTAAAGAGAGATATTTAAATATGTGTAAAGAATCTTATATTGAAATTAATTTCTATTCATTCTCTATCTTTCAACCATTACTATTTGCTTTGATCTCCAGGAAATAAAGTTCACTCCAGAATCTGCATGCCAATTCTTCAAATATTTAAAAACTATTGCTAATGTCTCTTAGTATTTTGTTTCTTTTCTAGCTTTTTCCACAACTGTTCTTCATTTAACAATGTTTCCAGACTATTTGCCATCTTTGCCTTCTCTCTCAGATCTTTCTACACATCCTTCTCCAGCTGCAGATTCTAAAAGAGAACATGTTCCAAGTTCAAGTATGTAGCCACATTTTCAAGCAAAAGTGGGGTAAACAGGATAAACAATCAGATGGTCTGTGGATATCAGGTAAGCAAAATCAGGAGCTGGCATAAAGAAGCCATCAAAAAATAAAAAAAAAAAAGTCAATCACACGGAATTTAGGATTAAAACAGTACCAGTAGAGGTCAAAACAAGGAGAGAGAGAGAGAAACACACTGTCAATGTTTATGTGGGTAAATCACTATACAGAAAAAACAAACTCTTTTCTTTATTACATTCACTACTTCTGACACCAGATGTGCCAGTTTTACCCAGACTAACCAGTTCTACAACTCTTCAGACATCAACTGCGTGTCATACAATTCTATTATGGCACAAACTCCCTGGAGTTAGGGCAGAATCCCCAGGTTAAGGGCTCAGACCACAATACTACCTCCTTCTTCAAACACCAACCATGAGTAGTGGCTCCCCAGATTACCAACACTTCTGTCCAGCTGTAAGTTCTAAGTTTCTTATTATGCTTTTGTCTTTCTATCCTGAAGCTTTATCTAGGAGCCTATCAAGATTCAGCTCATTAGAACAAAATATGTCACTATCACCTAGGAAATTCCAAGGGATTTAGAAGCCCTGTGACAGGAACCAGGAGCAAAGATTAAGTAACAGAACAAAAGATTCCCACCACCCCTGTAACTACAGAGATTTTTAAGGGTTTTAAGACATATGCATCTATATATTTGTCTCTATATATGTGTGTGTATATATATATATATATATATATATATATATATATATATATATATATATATATTTGTAATTATTATTCCACAATCACCATGAGATGAGCACCTGCATTACCAGATAATCACTGCCCCTAGTATTTCCATTTATGTTATTCAAACGTGCCCAGCCTACTTGCTTCATCATGGATCTTAATATAGTGCTGTAGAGTCTTAGTTTCTGGATGAAGATCTTCTGCCAGTTAAAATCTATAGACCTACTTGATACAAGAAACAAAAATGTATTTATATAAAAGCTAACACTAAGAACAGGGTGCCAAAAAAATTGTATATGCATTTCACATTAAATGTCAACAATAAACCTTTGAGCTCAGTGCCATTATTTAAATGATACATGTTTAGGTTATTTGCCCAAGATCACAGAACAAGTAACTGTCAGAGCTGAAATAAAAGTCCAAATCTGTCCAGTGCCAAAATATATGCTCCTGAATGCTGTGGTATTAGCCTCCATTTAGTCAGTATATTGTAAAATTCAAAAAATAATTAAAACATCCCTGTTTTTATAAAGCAAAATGATAAATATTATGTTTGCAGAAAACTCTCTCATACCAAGAAGCTCGCACTCTAGTAAGTGACACAAAAATGTACCAAACTATCCCTATAAAATATCAAGTTTTTAAGTTTTATACCAAAAATCAAAGGAATAACTACTTTTACTTATCAGTGTTAGGGTAAGGATTAGTTCTTGAAGTGTTAATAGGATTTCTACTAGTGGAGAAATAATAAATTATGTGAGATTTTAAATAAAGGAAAACCAGGAGGAAACTTTTGTAATTTTTCAGATGAAATATAATAACAACTTCAACACAAGTTCAAAGTTAAAGTTTATTATTTTCTTTATAATTAAATTCCATAAGTGGTTATTAATTTGTCCTTTTACAAATTAGAATGTTAAAGATGAACACAACCCTTTAACAATCCCTCTCATATACTCTCACCACCACTGTTAAAAATGTTCTCTGTCCATGCATTTGCATACACTCATATATACATATATAGTATGTGTGATAAAGAGATAAAAATATGAGTTATAAACGTGCATATATGTTTTAATACGTATCATGCACATTATATATATGACATGGTGCGATTTTATTAGTTGCTAGGGCTGTTATAACAAAGTACTGCAAACTGGATGGTTTAAATGACATGAATTTATTCTATCAAAGTTCTGGAAGCTAAAAGTCCTAAATCAAGTGTTGACAAGGTTTCTTCTCTCTGAGATCTGTGAGGAAGAACCTGTTCCTTTCCTTGTCCCTAGCCTTTGGTCGTTTTCTGGCAATCTCTGGCATTCCTTGAATTATAGAAGCATCATCCCAATCCGTGCTTTCATCTTCACATGGCTTTCTATATGCGCATCTCTCTCCGAACTAACTCCTTTTTTTTTTTTTTTTGAGACAGAGTCTTGCTGTCACCCAGGCTGGAGTGCAGTGGCATGATCTGGGCTCACTGCAGCCTCTGCCTCCCAGGTTCAAGTGATTCCCCTGCCTCAGCCTCCCAAGTAGCTGGGACTACAGGTGCGGGCCACTGTGTCCGGATAATTTTTGTATTTTTAGTTCTTAGTCGAGACAGGGTTTCACTATAGTGGCCAGGCTGGTCTCCAACTCATCCTTCCGAAGTGCTAAGATTACAGGTGTGAGCTACGGCGCCTGGCCGTATGTATAATATTTATTTTTATAAATAAAACAGTCATTATGGATTAGGGTCCACTCTGATGATCTCATTTAAATTGATTACCTCTGTGAAAACCCTCTCTCCAAATAAAGTCACATTTTGGGTACTGGCAGTTAGGATTTCAACATATTAATTTGGAAGGACATAATTCCATGAATAAACAGCTATTAAGTTTTTTGATTGTTTCAGGTTTAACCTTCTTGGATCCAAGAAATTAACTATATATAAAGGTCAATTAAATACAAACTATATAGAAATAGCAACATGCAGAATTAATATTTTTAAACTACAAATACAACTACCATGTCACCCAGCAATCCCACCGGACATTTATCCAAATGAAAGAAAATCAGTATATTAAAGATACATCTGCACCCCCATGTTTATTGCAGCACTATTCTCAAAAGCCAAGATAGAGAATCGACTGTGCTGTTCCACAGCGGATGACTGGACAAAAAATGTGGCATACATAGACAATAAAATACAATTCAGCCATAAAAATTAATAAAATTCTGTCATTTGTGGTAACATGAATGGAACCAGAGGACATACTGTTAAGTGAAATAACCCAAGAACAGAAAGTTAAACACCTCGTATTTTCACTAACATGTGGAAGCTTAGAAAAGTTGATCTCAGAGAAGTAAAAAGTAGAACAGAGGCTGGATAGGGTAAGGGGTAAAAGTGGATAGGGAGATTTTTAAAAGAATACAAAATTACAGCAAGAAAGGGCAAATAAGTTCTATTTTTCTATACCACTGTAGGATGATTTTAGTTTACAATAATATGTTACATAGTTTCAAATAGCTAGAAGATGGATATTGAATGTTCCCAACATAAAGCAATAATAAATGTTTGAGATGACGGATATGCTAACTACACTAATCTGATCATTACACATAACATGTATTGAAATATCATTATGTACCCCATAAATATGTACAATTATTATACATTAATTTAAAATGAAGTAATTAAAATATTTTTTTAAAAAAATGATTTTTAAATGACCCAAATTTCAATCTACAGTAAGTTAATGTTGACGATGGTAATAAAATTTTTCGATTTTTGCTAGCTATTTTGTAGCTGATAAGCTGAGAAACAATATTGATGAGTACATTTTTATTTTCATGTGACTTCTAAAAAAGCATAAATAATAATAATCGTTCCATATGACTGCATTGTGAAATAAAAACAGTCAATGCTTTCATCAATAAAGCCTGTTAAACTGGAAGATATTTAGAAAGATGACAGTATCAATGATAAATTGCTAATTACATTTTTCAAGTTTTAAACAGAGTATGTATAAAAATAATTTGGATAATATGATTCTGAACTTTTTATTCTAAAATAAAAATAAATGCTATATAGTTGATTCATTTTGCATGATATACATTTGTGAAGTATTAATTTTGTCACTGATTTCTATTAAACAATTTTGTAAATTATCATTTGACCGAATTTAGGGAAGGTTTGTTTTTCTCTTGTTTTAACATAGTATGCAGTTTAAGATGGGGAAATGACTAAGCATTTCCCTTTTAGTTTTAGTAAGGTTTCTGGCCAACATCCTATCTAAAAGAGGACTCTAGAGCATAGCATGCCTTCCATTCCAGAATAATTTCTTGTTCTAATCTAAATTTCCTAATTTCATCCACATGGTTTCCTCCATTTTATGAAGTCAAATTAAGAAGTGGAAGACTGATCTGAAATCCATTTATTTGCTCAAAGTCTGTGCAGTGTGCCAAGTATTGAACAGAATCCTTCAGAAGTTTCAGATCAACACCAGGCTATTGCACATCTCCTCATCCTTGTTTGTAAGGCTGTGTTACAAAGAACAGTCTGAACTCTGTTCAAAAACCAGCAGAGTGTCTGGGACCAAGGAATGAGTAGGCCCAGAATAAACAGATCCAGAGATTGCAAAGAATACTAAAAACAAACAGGCATTGTGAACACTGCAATCAATTACTCAGGGCTGTTCATTTCCATCACACTAAGCAATCACAACACACTATTTAGGGCTCTTCACTGAAGAATAAGCTTATTTGCTTAAGAACAGACAACACTATACCATACCTGTCAATTAGCCACTCAGTTAATGACCTGTGACACTTTGGGAACAAGAAAATACTTACTTCTTTCTAACGACTGGTTGCTTTATTTTTGGTAAAACAAATGCATTTTTCATGTTGCTGTAAAGATAAATCAGGAAATTTCTTGAATACATGGCTTTCTTAATACGAGAATACTAGGCTTCAGAAAGGTTTTCTAAATTTAATTGAAAAAAACCCTCTATTTTGATACCTGGTAATATGCTCTCTGAAATATAGTGTAAATCCAACATATAGAAGTGAAAAAAGAAAACAAAGAAATGAGATTATGGGTTAGGGAACACAGGCCAAATTGTAGAGTGTCTAAAAAAGAAAAAAAATGTTGTAACTAAGTTTGTCAATGTTATACCCTGGTTTATGCTGCTATTTTTATTCAGCCAAAATGGGAACTCTTCGGTAAAACCAGACCACTTAATTATATAAAGCTGATCTGTACTGATTCTGTGATACAATCCAGGAGTATGTAGGTAATGACACCTTCCACTATTTAAGTTATTATTAATTTTGCTTTAAAATTATAATTCTCTATTTTTCTGGTTATCGCATTTATGTTTGAGAAGTTGACCATCATTGTGATTTGAAGTATTTACTTTTGTTATATAAAATTTTGTAGTTAAAAGGGAGTTCAAAAGATATCTGAACAAATCTATCATCTTACAAATCAGTGTACTTTGGCCGAGAAAAATTAAGTGAGCTGTCCAAGATCATACAACTTTTTTTTTTTTTGAGACCAAGTCTCTCTCTGTCACCCAGGCTAGAGTACAGTGGCCTGATCTCCACTCACTGCAACCTCTGCCACCCTGATTCCAGAGATTCTCCTGCCTCAGCCTCCCAAGTAGCTGGGACTACAGGTGCTCACCACCATGCCAGCCTAATTTAAATTTTTAGTTTTAGTAGAGATGGGATTTCACCACATTGGCTAGCCTGGTCTCGAACTCCTGACCTCAGGTGATCTGCCCTCCTCGGCCTCCCAAAATGTTGAGATTGCATGAGAGTCACCACCCCTACCACCCCAAGATCATACAACTCTAAAATGATGAAATCAAAACTAAAAATTGGATCTAATTGGCCCTTTTGTGTTATTAAATGCCCTGGCATAATTCACTGAATACCTTATGGACTGGCTACCCTGATAGCTTTTAAACATCCAACATTAATTAATATGGTGGGGTGTTATCAATGATATAAAATCTGGCATCTACACCCAAAGATTGGAAATATTTCCTGGATGAGTCTGTGTGGGCAGTGAAAGACATTCCTTCTCAGGGGCACTTAAGAAATAAACAAAAGATTCTCCCAACAGTAGATCTTTAAACATTACATTTCAAGGTTTACTCTGCCTGAGTAGGAGGTTAACTAGAGGTAGGATTTGCAATAATTTATAGGTAGTTGGCAAGTTACACTACATAATTTGTACTGCCCAGTGCAAAATAAAAATGTGGGACTGTTTGCTTAGTACCTCATTATTAAATATGCAAAAATGTAACATTCTTCTTTAAAACAATTTGTTACTGATAAAACATAATAGGTATACCGGTGATACGTGAGAAACAATATTAATTTATAAATTGTAAATATGTTTTATAGTTGTAGCAATTTTTACACATTTTACAGTTTTTCTATGTATAATGCCATAAATAACAATAACTTCTCACTGTAAAATATTTATTGACCATAAGATTTTTTTCTCATTTTTCTATAAATTTGCTTGGTAAATTATCAAAATTTATAGTTATCACCACTTTATTTACAATTTATATGATTGAAAATAACTTCAGTTGCTCTTGATAAATGCAAGATCTCAAATAATTTTGATAATTTTTAATTTTGAGAAGAAATTTTTTTCTGTTGCTGAAAATTTCTGGAACTATTGAGAGTATTTCATAAGGTGTGACAGGGATGAAATGTTTTTGACAAATCATTTTGAAATATATATTTTAGTACCTCTAGACCTGATATTTCTCACATTTCTTCTAAAAAGATTTAACTCTTCATAGAAGTCAGTTTTGTGTAAGTCTGAATTTAATTTAAATGAGAATTTATGCAAAAACATTTTAATGTTTCCTCTGATAACTCCTATAACTGTGGAGGTCATAGAAGAAACACTTCTATGAAGAAAGCAACTTTCTTCTGAAGAGAGCAACTTCATGATTTGTACATAATTCAAAATGCCTGTTTATGAAATATATCACTGTATCCCAAATCTCATATAAAAATAGTGTTCTTTTCCAATATTTCAATGTTTAAATGTCATTTCTATATTTAAGCCTGTGTATATTTAATTTGCAACGCTGTGTCAGTTATTAATACTGGAGATTCTAATCGCTTAGAAGTGTTCTTTCTAGGAATCCCAGTAGTCTTCATTATGACATTCAGAATAAACTTTTATTTTGTAATAATTTACTGATATAGTTTGCTTCTTGACTGCCAGCACTCAAACTGGAGAGTTAATATCTTTAAAGATGCCTCAGGCACAGGCTCTGGAAACAGACAAGCTAGCCAGCCTCCACCACATGTCCTGACACTACAAGCACAGCCTCTTTTCCTCCTGTGGCTACTGCCACTGCCATTTTTGTTGCTTCTGTAGCCATTGCTGCTTCCTATCTGGGAGCAGGTCCTGCTTTGGCAGCCCCCTTGAAGCCCCATGGTACCACAAACATCCCCAAGGCATTTGCTTGCATGCATTGCCAATTGCTACGCATTCGTCCTTCCCACTGGTCCCACAAGCTTGAGCTAGCATGGGTTGACTGCTGCTGGACCATTGCCATGTGTTTGCACTGACACCCAGTGTGTCCCCTCTGTTTACATGCAGGCTATAATGTTCCATCAGGCTTCACTTAGAAAACTCAAGTCTAAAGAATTTCAAGATGGTGAAAGCAAAGCATTAACAAAGCAGGAACCCTTCTCAGCATGGGGTTCTGTGTGACTGTACAGAGCACATGCCGATGAAGCTGACTGTCCTAGTAAGTTTGACTAGTTTGACTAGTGGGTCGGTGATTTGGAAGTAGCAAGACAGAAATATTAGATAATAATGAAGATTTGGGAAAGATCATGAAATTTACTCCAATAATTATCCCAAGTTTGAAAATACTTTAATTACATTTAATGCTCACTGGAGAACCTTCACTGAAGAAAAGATGTTTAACAAATAATTGATTAAACTACCCAAGACGTGTGACTCTTTTTTTTTTCATTATCTGACCTCGTTTTTTCTAATGGCACAAAACCAAAGCAACCATAAAAGCAGGGATGAGAGTGTTTCACAAAATCAAGAACACAAGCTTCTTCGTATTGTGTTTTTTCCTAGATTGAGTCCCAATGTTTTAGGAACAAACACAATACTTACTACATTATAGTCACGGGGCCACTACTTGTTTGATCAGACTCAGGCAAGTCTGCTATAGGCCTAGCATTAAAGTGAGACATGGCACTCATTATCTACCTAGAGTAGAACAATAAATTGTTTAACACAGTAGTATTTAGACCATCAAATGTTGACATGTTCTCATCTAAATTAATATTATAAAACGCAGTTTGCCTTTTAAGTGGTTAACTAATTGGCCCAAGGTCACACAACTAATAAGTGATAGAAGCAAGATTTGAATTCAAATGTTCTGACTTGAGAGTTGCAATGTTAACTTAATAGCCAATACTGGCTTCCAGCTCTACCTGGTCTCCCTTTAAATTTATAATCACAAATCTCAAATAGGCATCCATTATTGCCAGAAAAGCCTAGTAGATACTCTAGAAAATAACTTACCCTTCTTTCCAGTAATTTTTTTAAAATTCCTTCTCTGGTGATGGAGTTGATGACCTCATCGTGTATGACCAACTTTATTTTTCTTCTCTAATATCATGTGGGAATTCTCTTTTCTGTTCTAAGGGAAAACCTGCCAGTTGCGCTCTGGAGTATATCTTCTCTCACTGCCCAAAGGATATAAGCAATTTTAATATTTTTTAAAAGCTACTTCTTGAAAGAATTATTTAGGCTTGTTGTGTTCACTCTACTATACTTCATTATGTCTCCAACCCATTCTACTAAAATGGCTCTTATGAAGACCACAAGTGATCTTGCTAAGGTGAATGAACAATCTTCTGTTCATCTTACTTGATGTCTCAGCATCATTTTAAATGGAATGATCTCTTCTTCCTTATTAAAACATGCTATTCTTTACAAAAGTGACTCTCAGAGTGTCATCCCATGTAAACAGCATAAACATCAGCTGAGGCTACCCTTAAGTGATAGAGAAAGAGATAGGGATAGCAAGTTTATTCAAAGGGATAATAACAGAGAACTCCGAAACCTAGAGAAAGATATCAATATCCAAGTACAAGAAGGTTATAGAACATCAAGCAGATTTAACCCAAAGAAGATTACCTCAAGGCACTTAATAATCAAAATCCTAAAGGTCTAGGGTAAAGAAATAATCCTAAAAGCAGCAAGAAAAAAGAAACAGGAAATAAACATGGGAGCTGCAATAGGTCTAGCAGCAGACTTTTCAATGGAAACCTTATAGCCCAGCAGAGAGTGGCATGGCATATTTAAAGGGATGAAGGAAAAAAAGCAAAATAATAATAATAATAATAAATAACTGTTACCCTAGAATACTGTAACAGGCAAATATATTCTTAAAACATTAAGAAGAAATACAGACTTTCCCAGACCAAAAAAAAAAAAAAAAAAAAACTGAGGGATTTCATCATCAGACCCTTCCTATAAGAAATGCTAAAGAGAGTTCTTCTATCAGAAATAAAAGATGTTAATGAGCAATAAGCAGTGAAGATACAGTAATTACTAGAAATAGTAGGTACACAGGAAAACACAAAATATTATTACACTGTAACTGTGGTGTGTAAACCACTTGTATCTTAAGTAGAAAGACTAAATGATGAACCAATAAAAACAATAAATAAAACAACTTTTCTTTTTTATCTTTTCTCAATGACTTTTATTTTAGGTTCAAGGGTACATGTGCAGGTTTGTTATATAGGTAAACTCATGTCAAAAGAGTTTGTTGTACAGATTATTTTGTCATTTAGGTTCTAAGCCTAGTACCCAATAGTTATTTTTTCTGATCCTGCCCTTCTTCCCACTCTCTGCTCTCAAGTAGGCCCAGTGTCTGTTGTTCCCCTTTTTGTGTCAGTGGAATCAACCTAAATGTCTAAAATTGACAAACCTTTAGCCAGACTAACAAGGAAAAAATGGGAGAAGACCCAATAAATAAAATCAGACATGAGAAAAGACATCACAACTGATCTCATAGACATTCAAAGGATCATTAGTGGCTATTATGAACAACTATAGGGCAATAAATTGGAAAACCTAGGAGAAATGGGCACATTTCTAGGCAACTAAAACCAAACTGACCATGTAGGAATCCTACACCTAAACAGACTGATAACAAGTAACAAGATAGAAGCTGTAATAAAGAGTCTCCCAGCAAAGAGAAGCCTGTGACCCATTGGCTTCATTGCTTAATTCTCCCAAACATTTAAAGAACTAATATCAATCTTACCAAAACTATTCCAAAAAATAGAGAAGGAAATACTTCCAAACTCATTCTATGAGGCCAATATTACTCTGATACCAAAATGAAAGACACTTCAAAAAAATAATACTACAGGCCAGTAACTCTGAAGAATATTAATGCCTAAACCCTCAGCAAAATAATAGTAAGCAGAATTTAACAACAAATTAAAAAGTCATTTGTCGTGACCAAGTGGGATTTTTCCTAGGGATGCAAGGCTAATTGATGCTGAAAAAGCATTTGGTAAAATTCAACATCCCCTCTTGATAAAACCCTCAAAAAACTGGGTATGGAAAGAACATGTCTCAGCATAATGGAAGCCGCATACGGCAGACTCACAACTAGTATCACACTGAATGGGAAAAAACTGAAAGCCTTTTCTCCAAGATCAGGAGGACAAGCAGGATGTCCACTTTCTCCATTGTTATTCAAGATGGAGTTGGAAGTCCTAGCTAGAGCATGAGGCAAGAGAAAGAAATAAAGGGCATCTAATTTGGAAAAGAAGAAATTAAGGGATCCTTGTTTGCAGATGGTATAATCTTATATTTGGAAAAACCTAAATTTTCCATATAAAAACTATTAGAATTGATAAATAAATTCAGTAAAGTTTCAGGATAAAAAAATCAGCATATAAAAATCAATAGCAATTCTATATACCAAGAGCAAATAATTTGAAAAAAATAAGAAATTTATCTAATTTATAACAGCTACAAATAAAATACCTATAATTAACTTAGTCAAAGAAGTATAAGATCTTCTTTGTGAAAATTATAAATGAAAATTATAAAACATTGATGAAAAAATTGAAGAAACACAAGGAAATGAAAAATATTCCATGTTCATGAGTCAGAAGAATCAATATTGTTAAAACGTCCATATTTCCCAAAGCAATTTGCAGACTTAATGCACTCCCTCTCAAAATATCAATGTCAGAAATAGAAAAAATATATAAAATTTAAATGGAAACAGAAAAGACCCAGAATAGCCAAAGCTATCCTAAGCAAAAAGAATAAAACTGGAAAAATCACATTACCTGACTTCAGATTGTACTTCAGAGCCACAGTAACCAAAACAGCATGGTACTGGCATAAAAACAGACATATCTACCAATGGAATAGAATAGAGAACCCAGAAATAAATCCACACATCTACAGTGGACTCATTTTTGACAAAGATGCCAATAATATACATTGGGAAAAAGAAAGTTTTTCAATAAATGGTTCTGGGAAAATTGAGTATCTATATGCAAAACAATGAAAGTAGTCACTTACCTCTCACCATTTACGAAAATCAATTCAAAGTGGATTAAAGCCGTAAATCTAAGACCTCAAGCTAAGAAATAACTACAAAGAAACATTAGAAAACCTCTCCAGGACATTGGACTAGGCCAAAAATCTTGGCTTAAGATTTTTGAGTAATACCCAATAAGCACGAGCAATGAAAGCAAAAATGAGCTAGTGGAATAGTATCAGGTTAAAACAATTCTGCATAACAAAAGAAACAATCAACGAAGAGGCAACCTAGAGAATGGGATAAAATGTCTGAAAACTACCTACCTGACAGGATATTAATAACTAGAATATATAAGGATTTCAAACCACCTATAGGAAAAAATTGAATAAAATGATGAAAACATGGGCAAAAGATTTTAACAGACATGTCTCAAAAGAAGACATACACACAAATGGCAAACAAGTATACGAAAAGGTCACAACATCATTGATGATCAGAGAAATGCAAATCAAAATTACAATGAGCTATCATCTCACCCTGGTTAAAATGGTGTTTATCCAGAAATTGGCAGTAACAAATGCTGGCTAGGATGTGGAGAAAAGAGAACTCTCGTACGCTGTTGGTGGAAATGTAAATTATTAATAGTAAGCCACTGTGGAGAACAATTTGAAGATTCCTCAAAAAACTAAAAATAGAGCTACCATATTATCTTACAACCCCATGGCTAGTTATATACCTAAAAGAAAAAAAAAATCAGTATATCAAATAGATATCTGCAATCCTCCCATGTTTACTGCAGCACTAGTCATAATAGCCAATATTTTGAAGTAACCTAAGTGTCCATCAACAGATGAATGTATAAAGAAAATATGGTACTTACACATAATGGAATACTATTCGGCCACTAAAAAAAAAAAAAAAAATGAGATTCAGCCATTTGCAGTAACATGGATGGAAATGGAGCTTATTATGTTAAGTGAAATAAGCCAGGCACAGAAAGACAAACATCATGTGTACTCACTTATTTTGGGAAGCTAAAAATTAAAACAATCTAATTTAATTGTTTTAAAACAATTAAAACTCATAGATTTATTGAGAAATACCCCACAAGCCCAGGCAGCCAAAGCAAAAATAAACAAATGGGATCATGTCAAGTTAAAAAGCTTCTGTACAGTGAAAGAAATACAATTAAAAAGTGAACAGACAACTCACAGAATGATGGGAAGAGTATGTGGGTGGTGAGAGGGATATGGGGATGGTTAATGGGTACAACAAATAGAAAGAAAGATTAAAACCTAGTATTTCCTAGAACAACAGGTGACTACAGTCAAAAATAATTTAATTGTACATTGTAAAATAACTACAAGGGTATAATTGGATTGTTTGTGTTACAAAGGATAAATGCTTGAGGTGGTGGATACCCCATTTACCCTAATGTGATTATTAAGCATTGCATACCTGTATCAATATATCTCATGTAACTCATAAATGTATAGACCTACTATGTATCCACAAAAATTAAAAAGTAAAAATTAAATAGATTGTGCTACAAAAAAATAATTTGAAAATGAGATGTCAGTCAGTGACTGCAATCTCCTTGCTCACATGCTTGAATGAGGAGCACTGCCAGGTCACAGCCCTTATCCACTGGTTAGCCATGTTATATGCCACCAATGACTGGACCAGTAGCAGACATGTAATCCAAGATAACTCAACCCTAGGCAAGTCAAAATGCAAAGATATGGTCAGACATGAAGGAGTTTGGCTTAGCAGAAGTGAGTAATTCACTCAGATCATAAGATGCTCTTTTCTGGGAATTTAAACTAAAGGTAGAGAAGAATGTTAACAATTGCTGACATGTCAGAAGAAAGAAGACATATTCAGTGGGATGTCACAATATTTGTGATATGAGACTGAAGACTCATAGATTCTTATTCCTGAAAACCCTAGTGCTAGCTTCAATCAAGGGCCAAATACTCTTCCATTGTTTCTTTCTGAAAAACCAGACCAAATGTTGATATTTCAAGAGTAATGATAGCCAAGCCGACTATTGACAAATGAGTGTTTTGCCACAGGTTGAATAGGATACAGCATGAATTGTTTACGGCATGTGATAGAAGGGGGACAATGAGCATATTTTATTCAAAAAAGAATAGCATGTACAAAATACTGAAGCATATTTGCACTGAGCTTGTAGTATAATTTTACTGCATTGTAATAAAATGTGACCACAGCTTTGAGGAAAATGGTTGAAGTATATTTCTATACGGAAGAGGAATATACAAAAGAGGAGAACAAAATGAAAGGGCAATTTAAAAGGTATCTAAGGAGGTAATCAAATAACTAAGATGAGGGGAAAAATGAGAAAAACGTCAATGTCAAAGTAGTAGAGACCAAATGAAAATGGCTTTGAAATGACTAGAAGTCAAATAAAAGAGAAAGAGGGACATATAATAGAGTTGACAGGCTTCCCTTGTGGTAATTCATTTGTCAAAAAGAGAAATTATCTAGCCCACCAGAGAAAATTTGTCTTTTAATAATGGGCACATTTTGACAGAGTCAGTCTGAATAAGCACTCAAATATTTGTTTTTCTTAGGTTGTACAAATCTCCTAGGTTTGCAAAACGGTTCTGCAATACTTCTCAGAAATGGAAGGATATTCTCGTTAGATTTTAGATACTTCCTCTTTCGGCTATGTTGGCAATACTAGCTCAGTTTCTTTTACTCTTGTATAGCCTTACAAAAACACACATTATTCTGACTATAATGTAGAATCCTAAGGGCTTGTAAATATGTACACAAAATAAATAAATGAAACTGGTTTACATTCACCAGTATTTTCTTAAGAAACTTACCTCAATTGTTATTTCATAAACAAGTCAGTAAATTTAGTTCTAACAAAGATATGGCTCAATTCTTTCCATTCAAATTGTTTTCCTAATTTCTAGCTGTCATGTGCCTGTGCTTATAGAATTCCCTCCAATCTGCAGCCTGTCCCCATGTGTTTTAAGTAACCATACATTTTGGATCTGATTCAAACTCATCTGTAGGTCTGTGGTTTTAAGAAATTGAGAAATAAATTCAAGAATGTTCATCACTATGTGGGTTATAAATGGAATAAACTAACCACTTTTCACATAGTAATTAAAAACAGATTAATGCAATTTAGAAAAAAAACTGCCATTTCAGAGAATATTCCCATTTTTTTAAAATCAAGTTATTAGATTTGTGGTTTTGTATAAGCACCCATAAACAAACAAACAAACAGACAGACATGCCAGGATATGCGCTTAACCAGAAGAAATAAATTGTCTTAATTTATTTTTCTTTTTTTTATTATACTTCAAGTTCTAGGGTACATGTGTGCACAACGTGCAGGTTTGTTACATAGGTATACATGTCACATGTTGGTTTGCTGCACCCATCAACTTATCATTTACATTAGGTATTTCTCCTAATGCTATCCCTCCCCCAGCCCTCCACCCCCCAAAGCCCCAGTGTGTGATGTTCCTCTCCTGGTGTCCATGTGTTCTCATTGTTCCACTCCCACTTATGACTGAGAACGTGCAGTGTTTGATTTTCTGTCCTTGTGATATTTTGCTGAGAATGATGGTTTCCAGCTTCATCCATGTCCCTGCAAAGGACATGAACTCATCCTTTTTTATGGCTGCATAGTATTCCATGGTGTATATGTGCCACATTGTCTTTATCCAGTCTATTATTGATGGAAATTTGGGTTGGTTCCAAGTCTTTGCTACTGTGAAGTTTTCTATATGCCAGGGACTATGCAGTATGATGGGGGCACAACTTAAATAGATTTGGCTTCTCTCTTTGAGACTGTTACACAATGCCCTCTTAGATGAAACACTTTTCTTTAATTTTGAGAAGAATAAAAACAGGCATACTTTATAGTCCCATTGTTTCAAGCAACTTAGTCTGATTGCATGGATAAAATATACCCCAAAATGGGTAAGTAGTAATGCACACCATTACATAAGGTCTAAATGAATACTACTGGTAGAATTATTGCTGAACATAAGAGAGAAATTTCATTGTAAATTTGTATGTAAAGGAAAGGCTTCTGAATGTGTATTTTACTGTCTACTAAAACTGGAGTGAGCTCATATGTAAAATTCCCCCCAAAAAATACTAAAAATCATGTAAGGAAGGACTATCAACCAAAGGGCAAAGCCATATGCACAAAAAACATGTTCAATGTATTTGACAAGTGTGTTAGGAGAAATTCATTTTATTTGTAGGATATTCAATGTGAAATGTGATCATTAAATGGAGAAATAAGGAATTTTTGTTTCATATACAAAAGGACATGATGTCGGTATTAGTGAACAAAGTCTTAGGGAAGTAGAAAAGGCTAACAATCATTCAGATGATATTGAGTTAATCTGGTTTTGTGCAAAGCACTGTGCTTTCCCTTTATAGCAGAGGCCATTGCATTCACCTCAGATTTCCTTTAACAAACCAGGACATCCTTCCTCCAGCTGCCACAAACATAGACTGCTAAAAGCTTACAACATTCCCCTTTTCTGGACACTTCCCCTTAGTTTAATGGGAGTTGCCTTTACTTACAAATCCATGTGTTCCCACAGATTTTTCTTGCTCTGGAATTTTGTATGGGGACAGTCAATCATTGACTGAATTACGGGTTCTCATCACTGATGGTGGGTGTATGATTGATAGTCCCTGGAATCCATTAGCATAGCAATTGCTAGGATTGTCATCTGTGATAAACTGAGATATGCTACAGAAAGAAGGGGAGGCATTAGCATATGCAAAATCTCAAGTGTTTGAGAAGTATGAAGTAAATTTAAAGCAGAAAGATGGAAAAATATATGACATAAAGATACTGATGAAAATAAAGTTTAACTTTCTATATTTGCTGACAAAGTAGACTTAAAAAATGAACAATTCTGCCAGGTGTGGTGGCTTATGCCTGTAATCCCAGCACTTTGGGAGGCCGAGGCAGGCAGATCACCTGAGGTCAGGAGTTCGAGACCAGCCTAACCAACGTGGTGAAACCCAGTCTCTACTAAAAAAAATACAAAAATTAGCCAGGCATGGTGGCAGGTGCCTGTAATCCCAGCTACTCGAGAGGCTGAAGCAGGAGAATCACTTGAACCCGGGAGGCAGAAGTTGCAGTGAGCCAAGATTGCACCACTACATTCCAGCCTGGGCAACGAGTGAGACTCCGTCAATTAAAAAAAAATTCAAAGATAAAAGAATGATATTACATAATGATAACATCAATTCAGGAAGAAGACATAATAATCCAAAAATGTGTATGCTCATAAGAGCAGAGCTTTAAAAATCACAAGGCAAACATTAATGGAACTGAAAAAAGAAATACAAATCCACAGTTATAGATGGGGATGTCAATGCCCCATACAGTAATCAATAGAACAAGTAAATCAGCCACCAGAAGGGTCTGAAACCAGGGCTCAGTAGCCTATGATCTATGGAGCAACTACTGGATTTTGTAAATAAAGTTTTACAGAATCACAGATGCATCTATTCATTCACATATTGTCTATGATGGCTTTCACATCACCACAGCAGAGCTGAGTAGTTGTGATAAAGACAATATGATCTATGGGATCAAAATACTTAATATCTAGTCCTTCAAAAAATCTTTGCTAACTCCTGGTATGCTAGATCTGAACAACATCATTAATTAACCTGTCTTTATATACAATACCAACTAACAGTAACCATACCCACCAATGTGCACTTAAGAGTATGTACATGTGGAACATTTGCCAAAATTGATCATATTCTTGGCTATGAAACAAACTTGAATAACATGAGCAAAATTATATAAGTGCTCTGAATACTGCAGAATTAAGCCAAAAATCAGTAAAATAAATATAGTTTTAAAATCTCAAGATATTTGGAAACTTAGCAACTTCATTGTATTTATTATTTATATTTCATAGAAAAATAATACATGTACTATGCAAACTTTTTTCTTTTACTAAAATTATTTATTTTACAAATAAAAATACTCTTGTTTCTCTTATTATGTGTTGGTTATCCACAACCTTGCCAACATCTGTTATTTTCTGACTTTTTAATAATAGCCATTTTGCCTTGTGTGAGATGGTATCACACTGTGATTTTGATTTGCATTTTCTCTAATGATCAGTGATATTGAGCTTTTGTCATATGATTCTTGGCTGCATGTATGTCTCCTTTTGAGAAATGCCTGTTCATGTCCTCTGCCCTCTTTTTGATGGGATTGCTTTTGTTCTTGTAAATTTGTTTAAGTTCTGTATAGGTGCTAAATATTAGACCTTAGGGAAGCAAAATTTGCAAAATTTGTGTCCCATTCTGTAGGTCACCTGCTAACTCTGTTGGAAGTTTCCTTTTCAGTGCAGAAGCTCTTTAGTATAATTAGATCCCATTTGTCAATTTTTGCTTTTGTTACAATTGCTTTTGCAATCTTCATCGTGAAATCTTTGCTCATGCCTATTTCGTGAATGATATTGCCTAGGTTATTTCCAGGGTTTTTATAGTTTTGGGTTTTGCATTTAAGTCTTTAATCTATTTTGAATTAATTTTTGTACATGGTGTAAGGAAGGGTTCCAGTTTGAATCTTCTGCATATTTCTAGCCAGTTATTTCAGCACCATTTACTGAATAGGGAATCCTTTCCCAATTGCTTGTTTTTGTCAGTTTTGTCGAAGATCAGACAGTTGTAGGTGTGTGGACTTATTTAGGGGTTCTGCGTTCTGTTCTATTGGTCTATGTCTGTTTTTGTACCAGTAACCTGCTGTTTTGGTTACTGTAGCCCTGTAGTATAGCTTGAAGTCGGGTAGCATGTTGCCTCTAGCTTTGTTTTTTTGCTTAGGATTGCCTTGGCTATTTGAACTCTCTTCTGATTCCACCTAAATTTTAAAACACTTCTTTCTAATTCTATGAAGAATCTCAATGGTAGTTTAATAGAAATAGCACTGAATCTGTCGATTGCTTTGGGCAATATGGTCATTTTAATGATACTGCTTTTTCCTATCCATGAGCATAAAATGTTTTTTCATTTGTTTGCGTCATCTCTGATTTCTTTCAGTAGTAGTTTGTAATTCTCCTTGTAGAGATCTTTCACTTCTCTTGTTAGCTGTATTTTTAAGTATTTTATTCTCTTTGTGGCAATTATGAATGAGATTACTTTCCTGATTTGGCTCTCGGCTTGACTGTTGATGTATAGGTATGCTAGTGATTTTTGCACATTGATTGTTTTTCCTGAGACTTTGCTGAAGTTGTTTAACAGCTTGAAAGCTTTTGGGCTGAGACTATTAGGTTTTTTAGATAAAGAACCATGTCATCTGCAAACAGAGATAGTTTGACTTCCTCTCTTCTTATTTGGATGCCCTTTATTTCTTTCTCTTGCCTAATTGCTCTGGCCAGGACTTCAATGCTCTATTGAATAGGAATGGTGAGAGAGGACATCCTTCTCTTGTGCCAGTTTTCAAGGGGAATGCTTCCAGGTTTTGCCCATCCAATATGATGTTGGCAGTGACTGTCATATATGCCTCTTATTATTTTGAGGTATGCTCCTTCAATACCTGGTTTATGGAGTGTTTTTATCATGAAGGGGTGCTGCATTTTCAAACCATTTTCTGCATCTATTGAGATAATCATGTGTTGTCTTTAGTTCTGTTTATATGATGTACCACATTTATTGATTAGTGTATGTTGAAACAACCTTGCATCTCAGGATAAAGCCTACTTGATTATAGTAGATAAGTTTTTTAATGTGCTGCTGGATTCAATTTTCCAGTATTTTGTTGTGGAATTTTTTTTTTCATGTTGATTAAGGATATTGGCTTGCAGTTTTGTTTTTTTTTCCTTTTGTTGTATCTCTGTCAGGTTTTGGTTTCAGGATGATGCTGGCCTCATAGAATGAGTTAGTGAGGAGTTCTTTCTCCTCAAATTTTTGGAATAGTTTCAATAGAAATGGTACAAGCTCTTCTTTGCATATCTGGTGGAATTCAGCTGTGAATCCACCTACTCCTGGGCTTTTTAATTTAAAAAAAAAATTTTTTTTGGCTGGTAGGCATTTTATTACTGCCTCAGTTTCAGAGCTCATTATTTGTCTGTTCAGGAATTTATTTTTTTCCTGATTCAGTCTCAGGTGGGTGTATGTGTCCATGAATTTATCCATTTTTTTCTAGATTTTCTAGTTTACATGCATAGAGATATTTATAATATTCTCTGATGGTTGTTTGTATTTCTGTGGGGTCTGTGGTAATATCCCCCTTGTTGTTTCTGATGTTTATTTGAATCTTCTCTCTTTTCTTCTTTATTAGTCTAGCTAGTGGTTTATCTATTTTATTAAGTTTTTCAAAAATCCAGCTCCCGGATTTGTTGATTTTTTTAAATGATTTTTGTATTTCAATCTTGTTCAGTTCAGTTCAGCTCTGATTTTGTTTTGTTCTTGTCTTCTGCTAGCTTAGGGATTTGTTTGATCTTGGTTCTCTAGTTCATTCAGTTGTGATGTTAGGTTGTTAACTTGAGATCTTTCTAACTTTTTCATGTGGGCGTTTAGTGCTATAAATTTCCCTCTTAACACTGCCTTAGCTGTGTCCCAGAGATTCTGGCATGTTTTATCTTTGTTCTCATTAGTTTTAAAGACCTTCTTGATTTCTACTTTAATTTTAATATTTACTCAAAAGTCATTCAGGAGCAGATTATTCAGTTTCCATGTAATCGCATGGTTTTGAGTGAATTTCTTAGTCTTGATTTCTAATTTGATTGTGCTGTGCTTGGAGAGACTATGATTTCAGTTATTTTGCATTTGCTGAGGAGTGTTTTTCTTCCAATTATGTAATTTATTTTAGATAAGTGCCTTGTGGTGATGAGAAGAATGTATATTCTGTTGTTTTGGAGTGGAGAGTTCCATAGATATGCAGGTCTGGGTGCCTTCTCTGTACCCTGCAAGCAAGAGTGATCGCTCAGTGTGTGGGAGGATTTGCTGTTCTCTATGCAGGGTTAGTGCAAGGGCACTGGTGGAGGCTGGGCTTTTTGGCTCTGTGCCCACCAAAGCTACTTCTGCAATGGTGGTCAGTGGGGAAATGGGGGCAAACTGCACTCCTGTGTGCTGACAAGACAAGCAAAGCAAAGCCCTCCCGTGCAACAGCAAAGTGATGTGGGGAGTTGCCATGGGCCAAGGGGAAGCTGCAGTATTGGGAGTCAGCATGCGGACTGGTGCGTGGTCACAGGGACTGGCTGCCTGGAACTTTCCACTGCTCAGGCATGGCCCACCAGCATGGAAGCTCTGGCACAGTCCCCAGGGCTGCCCTGCAAGCAGGTGTGGCCAGGATGGGGTTCAGGGAGAGGCCAGCCGACCACGGGGTGCTCAGGTCAAACTAGCTCCATCTGATAGGCAAGACCAACCTGCAGAGATTAGGTCTAACAGTTTCCCTGGGGCTAAAATCTCATATGAGAGCAAGTTGAACCTAGGGAGAATGGGCATCCCTGGCCATGCTCTGTTAGAGATGCTCCCACACCCCAAGCCTTCTGGGCTCCACATAAGCTGGTTTCCTGCCCACACCACTTCTGTAAGCAGCTCTCCCTACATCTTCTAGTGTCCGTGGTGGTAGAGGGGTCTCCTGCTGTTGGGGTTCCAAAGGCCCATGATGACAGCAGGTTGTTCCTTGACAGTTCAAATCACCCATTACCTCAGAGATGTTTTGGTTCAAAAATAAGTCCCTGTGTGTGGTAGCCCAGTGCTGGGTTGCCAGTTTTCTCCCACTTCAGCCCAGCTTCTGTGTCTTCCTTTAGTCTACTCTCCGTGCCTTACCTCTGAAGATCTGTTAAAAGATCAGCAGTCATCTTGTCTCTTTGTGAGCGCTGTTCCACTTGTCTGTGTCTTATCGGCTATCTCGCCAGAGACCTCAAACTTTTTATTTTTATTTTTAATTTTTGTGAGTACATGGTAGATGTATACATTTATGGAGTACATGAGATATTTTTATACATGCAGAAAAGTACAATAATTACATCATGAAAAATGGAGTGTCTATAGTCTCAAGCATTTTTCTTTTGTTTTACAAACAATCCAATTATACATTTTTGGTTATTTTAAAATGTACAATTAAATAATTTTGACTACAGTCACCGTGTTATGCTATCAGATGCTAGATCTTATTCATTCTTTCTAATTCTTTTTTTATATCCATTCACCATCTTCACAACTTCCCTTCCACTACTCTTCCCAGTCTTTGATAACCCTCCTTCTATTCTCTATCTTCGTAAGTTCAATTGTTCTAATTTCTAGATCCCCCAAGTATGTGAGAACATGAAAAGTTTCTCTCTCTGTTCCTGGCTTATTTCATTTAACGTAATTATCTCCAATTCCATCCATATTGTTGCACATGAGAGGATATTATTCTATTTGATGACTGAATAGTGCTTGTGCATAAGTAGAGCATTTTCCCTATCCATTCATCTGTTGATGGACACCTAGGTTACTTCCAAATCTTAGCTATTATGAACACTCCTGCAATAAACATGGCAGTGCAGATATCTCTTCGATATACTGATTTCCATTCTTATGAGCATATACCCAGCAGTGAGATTGCTGGATTGTATGGTGACTCTACTTTTACTTTTTTGATGGACCTTCAAGTGTTCTCCATAGTAATTGTATCAATTTACATTTCCTCCAACAGTGTATGAGGGTTTCCTTTTCTCCACATTACTGCATTTGTTATTGAATAAAAGCCATTTTAACTGAGGTGAGATGACACTGTATTGTAGTTTTGATTTGCATTTATCTGATGATCAATGATGTTGAGCATATTTTCATATGCCTGTTTGCCATTTGTATTTTTCAAATTAAGTTTAATTAAATTTTTTAAACTAGTTTTATTTCAGTAGGCTTTTGGGGAACAGGTGGTGTTTTGTTACATGGATATGTTATTTAGTGAGTGGTGACTACATCTAGTTTTTTTTTTTTTAATTTTTCGATTATGGCCATTCTTGGTATTGCATTGGTAAGGTGGTATCGCATTGTGGTTTTGATTTGCATTTCCCTGATAATTAGCGATGTTGAGCACTTTTCCGTATGTTTGTTTGCCATTTGTACATATTATTTTCAGAATTTTCTATTCATGTCTTTAACCCACTTTTTGATGGGATTTTTTTTCTTGTTGATTTGCTTGAATTCTTTGTAGATTCCGGATAACAGTCCTTTGTTAGATATATAGATTGTGAAGGTTTTCTCCCACTCTGTGGGTTGTCTTTTTAGTTGGCTGATTATTTCTATTGCTGTGCAGAAGCCTCTGAGTTTAATTAGGTCCCATCTATTTATCTTTGTTTTTGTTGCATTTGCTTTTGGGTTATGGGTCATAAAGTCTTTGCCTAAGCCAGTGTCTAGAAGGGTTTTTCCAATGTTATCTTCCAATGTTATCTTCTAACATTGGAAAATGTTTCAGGTCTTAGATTTAAGTCTTTGATCCATGCTGAGTTGATCTTTGTGTAAATTGAGAGATGAGGATCCAGTTTCATTCTTCTATTTGTGGCTTGCCAATTATCCCAGCACCATTTGTTGAATAGTGTCCTTTCTCCATTTTATGTTTTTGTTTGCTTTGTCAAAGAGCAGCTGGCTGTAAGTATTTGACTTTATTTCTCAATTCTCTATGATATTTTCCATTGGTCTATGTGCCTATTTTTATACAAGTACCATTCTTTTTTTTTTTTTTGGTAACTACAACATTATAGTGTAGTTTAAATTTGGGTAATGTGATGCCTTCAGATTTGTTCTTTTTGCTTAGTCTTGCTTTGTCTACGTGGGGCTCTTTTTTGGTTCCATATGAATTTTAGGATTGTTTTTTCTAGTTCTGTGAAGAATGATGGTGGTATGTTGATGAGTATTGCATTGAATTCTTAGATTGGTTTTGGCAGTATGGTCATTTTCATAATATTTATTCTACCTATCCATGAGCATAGGATGTGTTTCCATTTGTTTGTCCTGTCTATGATTTCCTTAAGTAGTGTTTGATAACTTTCCTTGTAGAGGTCTTTCACTTCCTTGGTTAGGTATGTTCCTAAAATAAAAAACACAATTGGGATAGTCACTTTTAATAATCTTATCTAACATTGTACTGAAGTTTGGAGTAAACTCAGCAGAGCAAAAAGAATGTATAACATGCATACATATTTTAAAAATAAATTAAGCTGTCTATATTTGCAGGCAATATAATAGTGAATGTAGAAAATCTGAAAAAATCCTATTAAAAGGCTATTAAAATAAATATGTGAATTAAGCATGGGCATAAGATGCACATTCAATATAAAATAATCAATTGGAGTTATTTTATTTTATTTTTGAGACAGAGTCTCTCTTTGTCACCCAGCCTGGAGTGCAGTGATGTGATCTCGGCTCAATACAACCTCTGCCTCCCACGTTCAAGCTATTATCCAGCCTCAGCCTCCTGAGGAGCTGGGATTACAGGCACCCCCAAACCACACCCAGCTAATTTTAGTAGAGACAGAGTTACACCATGTTGGCCAGGCAGGTCTCAAACCCCTGGCCTCAGGTGATCCACTCGCCTTGGATTCCCCAAGTGCTGGGGTTACAGGTGTGAGCCACCATGCCCAGCCTATTGAGTTCCTTATTAGTATCATTAACAATTGGATATTTTGAAAATATTACTTTCATCACACTACTGAGAAAACACTTTTACTCTATCAAAATGCATGCAAAATTTGTCTGCTGAAAACTACAAAACATTAATGAGAATATCAAATAAGACCTAAATAATAGGGAGACATAGTAGGCTAATGAATTTTCAGATTTAATTTGATCTCTAGATTCAAAACAATCTCAACAACAATTCTAAAATTTGTAAACTAGATTAGCCAATGCAAGTTGGAAAAAAGAACAAAGTTGGAGAACTCTGGCTATCTGGTTTTAAAACTTACTATAAAGATACAGCTGTTGTAGTAGTGGACAAAGAATAGACACATAGACAAATGGAAAAAAATAGAGTCTAGAAATATAGCCAACAACAACTAATTTTTGACAAAGGTGCAAAGTCAATTCAATTAAATTTTTTTGTTGTTTTATTTATTTTTAAATTTGTAGTTCTGGGTACATGTGCAGGATGTGCAGGTTTGTTACATAGGTAAATGTGTGTCATGGTGGTTTGCTGTACCTATCAACTCAACACCTAAATATTAAGCCCAACATGCATTAGCTATTTCTCCTAATGCTCTCTCTTCCCCTACTATACCCCCGATAGGCTGCAGTGTTTGTTGTTTCCCCCCTTAATCCATGTGTTCACATTGTTCAGCTCCCACTTATAAGTGAGAACATGTTATCTTTTATTTTCTGTTCCTGCATTAGTTTGCTAAGGATCATGGCCTCCAGCTCCATCAGCATCCCCGCAAAGGACATGATCTCATTCTTGTTTATGGATGCATAGTATTCCCTGATGTATATGTACTGCATTTTCTTTTTTATCTAGTCTATCATTGATGGGCATTTGGGTTAATTCCATGTCCTTGGTACTGTGAATAGTGCTGCAATGAACATACGCATACATGTATCTTTGTAATAGAATAATTTATATTCCTTTGGGTATATGCCCAGTAATGAGATGCTGGGTCAAGTGGTATTTGTTATCTAGATGTATCTTAATTTTACTCTAATACTTGAATGTGAGTTAGATGGATATTTAACTTTAGATGGCATTTTATTTTGTATAAATACCTCCGCTTTCATTGTTGATTTTGTGAATTCTGATGTCAATCTTGTAGGTCCTTTTTAATAATTTTCTCTTGGTAAAATTTTAAATATTCACTTTATATTTGATATGATATTGGTGTTTAATTACAATATGACTTAAGTATCAATTATTTTTTATTTGTCTTGACAGATCCATTATATTTCCTGAATTTGGAATTTTATGTGTTTTTAACTCTGGAAGTTCCTCATATTCTCCTACATGTTTTGTAATATTGCCAACTCTCTCTCTCACATTCATTTTTAATTATTTTTAGTAATCTTTAAAAACATATATGAGTAATTCTTATTCTATACTCCATAACTTTATTGTTATTAATTTTTTTCTCCCATGGCCTCTCTCCACTGGACCCTGATAACTGCGCTTGTTAACGCTATATATTAAGTTGGTGCAAAAGTAATTGCAATTTTGCTATTACTCTTAAATGGCAAAAACCACAATTAATTTTGCACCAATATAATATATCTATTTATTTATTTGTCTATCTACAGTCTTAAGTACTTTGGTCTCATGAACTCTTTTCTTACTTAAAAATTACTGATAATCACCAAAGTCAATATTGAGTATATTTGAAACTGAAAAAATTAGGCTATTATTAATTGACTCCAAATAATTTTAAAATAAAAATATTATTTGTTAATATAAATGGAAGTATTTTTTAAATACCTATATTTTGGATGGGCATGGTGTCTCATACTTATAATCCCATCACTTTAAGAAGCAGCTGCCAATGGATAGCTTGAGCCCAGGAGTTCGAGACCAGCCAAACCCAGTTCAAGACCACTGTTTTTAACAGTAAAACCCTGTCTGTACAAAAATACAAAAAATTAGCTGGACATGGTGGCATGTGCCTGTAGTCCCAGATACTTGGGAGGCTGAGGTGGGAAGATCCCTTGAGCCCAGGAGGTCAAGGCTGCAGTGCAGTGAGCCGAGATCATGACTGTCAAAAAACAAAACAAAACAAAACAAAACAAAAAAACCCTATGTTTAATTAAATGATCATATTTTATTAAAATAACTATATTTCCAAAACAGAAGGAATCCAGTGAGAAGAGTGGTATTTTTGCAAATCTCTTTAATATCTGCCATAATAGAAAACAGTTGTTTTTCATATTTTTTATCAAAATTTTGCTACATGTCATTTTGGTTGGAGTGTATGAAGAAAACCAAAGTTCATACAGATATGTAACTGAAAAAAGAAGAATGGTTTTAGTAACATTTTCAGATAACTATAAATATTCCTTTTTGCTACTGCACTAAAATCTGACAAGTGGTAGGTAATATCTTAAAGGATGATTCCAATGTGAAATGTGAAGCCTTATCAGTAAACATTTTATATTCTGTTACATTAAAATCCATCAGTTTATCTTGCAATTTAATTATATACTTTAGCTAAAAGCATGATTTTGCAACATCATGAGTTGATCATTTGGAAAATATTTCTTGATTGGAGTATGCAAATTTTCCAAATTTTGACATGTCATAATACATATCAAACAATAAGTTTTGTTACTATTGCTACAGATTTCATTAGACAAATCTTTTAGAATTGGGAAACTGTCAAGTTATAGTGGTGAATACAAGTTACACAAAATTTTAATTTTCACTCCATGATCCAATTTTACTATTGGCAACAAATACTGTCAACTATTTTTCTTGATATGACAGGCTTTTGTTGTTCATTTTCAAGAAGTTATTTGGCAAATACTGAAGTATGAATAACCATAGTTTGTCAGTTATTATTTCAACTGAAATGACGGGTTTCATGAATAACTGATTGGCTAAGCTAAAAATTCAAACATCATACAAGTTATTTTCCTTGAAATAACTATGGTAGTTTATGCAGCAAAGTGTTTTATACATATTCCCCATGTAACTACAGAAAATACAAAAAAGATTGTATATTTTTGTAAGGGAGGAGATTGTAAATAATTAGTAGTTTTTATTCTGTTCATGCCCTTAAGTATGAACTGAACTTTTATTTTATGTTTTATTTTTAACTGCATGTACATAATAATAACAGATTCAGTTACTAGTATATATTGTTGCCATTGCCTTGGTTATTCACAGATGTCAGCGATTTTACCCACTATTGTTTTTGTGAATATAAATACAGTAGAAAAAGGTTATTAACTCTGTAGTATTATTATGAAACTAATTTTAACTTTAGGACTCCTTGAAATAAGTGTCTCAGAGTTTCCTAGGAGTGTACAGGATACTTTTCAAGAACTGAATTAGATTTATAGTAGATAGAAATTTGCCAGTTTACAGCTTAACCCATTCAATCGGTTTTTATGTATACATAATTTTCTTTAAAAATTATCTTTTTTTAAATTTTCATCTTATTTTCATGATTTCTTATTTTTTTCTGCTTTTTATAACATATTTCATATTCTGTGTCCCATAATTCTAATATCTGAATTATTTGTGAGTCTTTATTCTGTGTTTTCTCATGTGCCTGTTCTTGTTCATTGTGCCTTTTTCTTTATGTATGTGCTTTTTCCATTTTATTAAGAGCTCCTGTTCATATGAATTTTTGTATGTGGAGATTCTTTAAGGCCTGTGTTCAAGGTGCCCTCTATTAGAGAGGATCTGCATTAGCTTTTGCTGAGTAACTGACAACCATTACAAGCCCAGGTCAACCTTAATTCTTTAATATAAATGTTGTCTATCGGAGCATTTTGAGGATGATTAGGTGTTATTCTGGTACTATGAGGTCAGGACACAAATCTTCATGGACTTTATTTCATGGTTACAAATACTCAAAGGAGATTATTTTGTTCTCTCCACTCAGAGCTAGATTTCAGAAAGACAATTGCATGTTCTTTCTGTCTTTGCAAGCAATTTTTTCTGTGGTTCAACCTTCCACGGAGAATATAGTCTTTTTGGAGTCCAGGCTTCATGCCAATGTCTCGCTTCAGACTCATGTGCGGGGCTTGGACTCTAACCCCAACCCTAACCCTAATGCTAACCCTAACCCTAATGCTATCCCTAACCCATATATTCCTGTTGTTTAGGAAGCTCTTAAGCTAAAAGTCAAAGTCTGAAGCTGCTCTTAGGGTAGGGGCTAGTTCATCTCACTGAATCCATACTTTTGTTTGGTTCATAGACACTCAGTGTTTACTTTCTTCCCAGTTCAACAACACATAGAAAGTCATATTTTCTAAATTGCATCTAATATTTTTAGTTGTTTACAGTGGAGTTTTGTTCAGGATATTCCAATATATTCGCCATTCACTCTTTAATTCACTTTCATTTGGATTCTGCATCTAGTACTCTACGTTTTAGAAAAACAGTTTTAAAATTTGACATGCATCTTTTCTGGTTCTATTTTATTCATCCTCTTGGTAAAAATCTATACACTTGCACCTCCCTTCTTGTTAAATGATTCCTACCTTTTGACTGCTGGTTTACTTCTTAGTGAAATTACTGGTCCTTCTCAGACTTCTTTATTGGCCCTCTTTCTCCACCTAACTGTGCGAACCATGGCTTCTACCCAGAATTTCTCTTCTTTAAATACACATATGTGTATGTGTGCATATATAATATATGCTATATACTGAATACTATACATATTTACATATATAAAATCTTAGAATTTCATATAGAATATATATATTTCCAAAACTTAAAATTCTACATTTTTAACTAGCCACATCTTTCAAATAGCTGCATATTTTCCAGAAAATTCAAATTTAGTATGGCCTTCAAAATTGATTTATTCTGGCTGGGCACGATGGCTCATGCCTGTAATCGCAGCACTTTGGGAAGCTGAGGTGGGCAGATCACAAGGTCAGGAGTTCGAGACCAGCCTGACCAACATGGTGAAAACCCATCTCTACTAAAAATACAAAAAATAGCCAGGCTTGGTGGTGGGCACCTGTAATCCCAACTATTCAGGAGGCTGAGGCAGGAGAATCCCTTGAACCCAGGAGGCAGAGATTGCAGTGAGTCAATATTGTGCCACTGCACTGCAGCCTGGGAGACAGAGTGAGAGTCTGTCTCAAAAAAAAAAAATGCTTTATTCTATTCAAGTTTAAACAACATTTATTTTGTAGTATCTTCTACACATAATATTATACATATAATTACATGTAATTTTTAAAACATACTAATGAAAGAAATACCTATATACCTAAAATCTAAGAAAATTACTAGAACATTACCAACATAATTGAATCTCTACTTTTATAATTCTCTTCATCCTTACCTTCCAATGTCTATCTAACATATTTTTAGTAAACATTTCCTTGTTTTTATATGGTTTTAAATATATGTATTTTTAAACAACATATGTTTTATTTGGTGAAAATAGTATTACAATTTGTGTATGTATATGTATGAGTTTTTTTTAATTTAAAACTTACTTATAACGTTTTTTACTTTGTTGGTGTAATACTGGCTCATTTTTTCACTAGCATATATTACACTGTGTGAATACACCATAACTTATTTGTACACTATCTTGACAATGGATTATCTGGGTTGTTTCTAACATTTTTGCTATTTTAAACAATACTGTAAGATATCCCAGGCTCAGCCATGATAATATTTTGTGCTTGGAGATTGAATTAATCTGCTGAGAATTTGCCAGTGTCTGGTGCTGTTCAATAGTTTGTTTTGTTTCTTTAAATGTGTGAGTGTTTCTATAGAATATATATACTTACAATTGAAAGGAGATTGTAGGGACTATACATCTTCTAGTTTATAAGATAATACTAAGTTAGTGTTCATATGGGTTTTTCTAAATTTACAATCCAACAATTCATGTAGATTCTGGTTATTTCACATGCTTGCAAACACTTGGTATGATCAAAAAACTCTATTTTTGCCAACCTGAGGGATTAAGAAAGTATCTTGAAAAAGAAATCAAAAAGTAATTCCATTTACAATAGCTGCAAATAAAATTAAATACCTAGGAATTAACTAACCAAAGAAGTGAAAGATCTCTACAATGAACACCAAAATATGCCGAGGAAAGAAACCGAAGAGGACACAAAAAATGAAAAGATATTCTATATTCATGGATTGGAAGAGTCAATATTGATTAAAATATCCATTTTATCCAAACCAATCTTCAGATTCAATGAAATCCCCAACAAAATACCAATGACATTCTTCACAGAAATAGAAAAAAAAAATCTTAAAGATTATATGGAGCCATGAAACACCCAGAATAGCCAAAGCTATCCTGAGCAAAAAGAACAAAACTGGAGGAATCACATTACATTACTTCAAATTGCACTACAAAAATATAATAACCAAAACAGCATGGTACTGGCATTAAAACAGACATACAGACCAAAGAAACAGAATAGGAAACCCAGAAACAAATCCACATATGTATAGTGAACACATTTTCAACAAAGGTGCCAAGAACATCCATTGGGATAAGAGTATCTTTGGTAAATGGTGCTGGGAAAACTGGATATCTATATTCAGAAAAATGAAACTAGATCCCGATCTCTCATCATACACAAAAATCAAATCAAAGTGGATTACTTAAGTCTAAGACCACAAACTATGAAATATCTACAAGAAAACATTGAGGGAAAGTCTTCAGGACATTGGTCTGGGCAAAAATATCTTGAGTAATATCCCACAAGCACAGACAACCAAAGAAAAAATGAACAAATGGGGTCACATTGATAAACAACTTCTGCATACCAAAGGAAAGCCAGCAAAGTGAGGAGACAACCCCAAAAGTAGGAGAAAATATTTGCAAACTACCCATCTGATAAGGTATTAATAACCAGAATATATAAGGAGTTCATACGACTCTATAGGAAAAAAATAGAATGATCTGATTTAAAAATGGGTAAAAGAGTAAAAGACTTGAATAGACACTTTTCAAAAGAAGACATACAAAAGGGAAAAAAAGCATATGAAAAGGTGTTCAATATCATTGATTATCAAAGAAATGCAAATCAAAACTACAATGAGCTATCTTCTAACTCCATTTAAGATGGCTTATATCCAAAAGACAGATGATAACAAATGCTGGTGAGGATGGAGAGAAAAGAACCCTCATACAACCACTATGGAAAACAGTTTGGAGCTTGTTCAAAAAGCTAAAAATTGAACTACCATATGATCCAGCCATCTCATTGCTGGGTATATACCCAAAAAAAGAAAATCAGTATATCAAAGCGATATCTGTACTCCTATGCTTGTTGCAATACTGTTCACAATAGACAGGATTTGGATGTAACCTAAGTGTCCTTTAACAGATGAATGGATAAGGAAAATGTGCTATTTACACAATGGAGTACTATTCAGCCATTAAAAAAGAATGAGATCGTGTCATTTGCAATAGCATGGATAGAACTGGAGGTCATTATGTTAAGTGAAATAAGTCAGTCACAGAGAGACAAATGATGCATATTCTCATGCATTTGTAGGTTCTAAACATCAAAACAGTTGAACTTATGGAGACAGAGAGTAGAAGGATGTTAACAAAGGCTGGGAAGGGTAATGGAAAGGTGGGGGACACTGGGGGATGGTTAATGGGTACAAAAAATTCGTTAGAAAGAATACATAAGACCTATTATTTGATAGCAAAACAGGGTGACTATAATCAATAATAATTTAATTGTAACATCTTAAAATAACAAAAAGATTATAGCTGGATTGTCTGTAACACAAAGGATAAATGCTTGAGGGGATGGATTCCCCATTTTCTATAATGTGATTATTATGCACTGAATGTCTGCTTCAAAATATCTCATGTGCCACATAAATATATATACCTACTGTGTACCCACAAAAATTAAGAATTAAAAAGAGAAAATACCTTATTGAAGCCTTCATTTTTATTTCTATAATTATTACTATAAGGGTATAATTTATAATTTTTATTCTTCTATAAAGAAATGTGTGTTTTCCTGGTCAACAGAGTAAAAGGAAAAAAATGCAGGCTGTTGTTGTTGTTGTTTTTATTTATTTGATGCCATTTGTCTTTGTAAAAGAAATGAATTCCAATGAGTATTTTATATATTCTGATAATTGATTATTTGACATGATAAGTTTTGTAAATAATTTCTAATGTACCTTTTCACTTAAATTTTTTAGGTCTTTGTTATTGTTTATGTGTATGTATGTGTGTATATATGTATATAAATATATTCATCCATGTTGGTAAATATGTTAGTAATTGTTGTACATTCTGTTAGATTGTTTTAATTGATTTATTTTAAAATTTGTTTCCCCCATTAGACACTAAACTCATGGAATCATGCATAATGCTTATTTGTCCAATACAGTATCCCCAGTTCACGAGTGTTTGAAACAATCAATAAGTACCTGTTGATTGAATGGAATGACAGTCCTACCATCTGTAGAGACCTATCACCGGCTTAGTCAGTCAGTAAATAAAATTTGTGTGTGTGTGTAGAATGCCAAACCAGATATGTAAGGAAAATAAAATACATATACAATACATGGCTCTCTATGTCATAGGCCACAAATTCTTTTTTTAAAAAAATTTATTTTACAATTGGGTCCATAATCCCTTTATGTAGTCTACTTTGAACAGGCTGTTTTAGTATTATTTTTAATACCTACAGCTGTTTTAAAACCTTTTCAACATTTGTTTTGTTGTGTGGTATTCTTTCATGTAAAGCACTTTTAATATAGCTTGTATCTCCAGGAAGTTATTTGAAACACCTGAATATAACTGTACATTAGTAAAATATGCCATATGTTCTGGTTGCACAAAACATATGCATTGAACATTTTCAAAAACACTATTAGTAAAAAGCAAAGCTTTAAATTTACTACCTTTATTTATAATAATTAAGATGTGGAAACGTATCAGTACAGTGAAACAGAAAAGTAATTTTGAACTTTTAAACATGAGAAAGCATCTTCCTTTATTGGATTTTTAAAAAGAACATATCAATGTCTTTTATCCATAGCTCAATAGAGTTATTATATGAATAACTAGAGAGACCTGGGAATAATGCCAACACTGTGAGGTAGAAAGTCAAAGATCATAGAACAGATGGAGAGTTTTCATTTATAGAACTTTTCATTTGCCTGGGCATGAGAGACCAAGACTCAACAAATGTTGCCCAAAGCAGCAAAAATGGTGTATCTGACATTCTACCCGCCAGAATTATCTACTCACTAGAATTCAACTACAGCTTATTGCAATTCATAATGATAACTACCAAACTTAATTATACAGACACGTTTTAAGAATATTCTAAAAAGTTAGATAAGTGAATTTATTTTATCATTACATATGCACAGAACTTACAGTAATTTTATTAATCACAATGCTGCATTTTGCCAGATGAACATTCCAAAATCTTACAATATAAATATACCACACACTAAATTTAAGTTAATATCCATAATTGTATGTTGGTATCTTTTCACAGACCTCCACTTAGAGTTTTGGTAAACTTGTATATTTAAGAGAAGACTAGTTTATCTACTAGAATATAGTTTTAGTTTATTTGATTTAGAAAAGTTATTTAAAAGAGGAAAGAAAACAGAGGATAAATACACTTAAAACAGAATAATTGAAAACACTTATTTTTCAGTAAACATAGCATTTGTTATAAGTTCTTCCTAATTTTTAAGGGATGATGGCAAAATTTGTCACTAGAGCTAAGACAGCCTCAGATCAAGAGTGCTGATGACACAATGGTGTGTATATATATATATGATATATTCCTAATGTATTAAAATTATGTATAGTATAAAATAATATGTATAACATATAAAAGCATATATGCACATCTGTGTTTATATATGAAACTATACATAGAATATATATTTATATATGGGTATATAAATTCAGAAATACATATGTATATGTGTGTGTGTGTGTGTGTATACATATATAAAATTCTTCCTCTACTTCTGTTATTTTTTTTCTTTCTCTAACTGGTTTCTTTGTTTCCTTTTCCTCTATTTTTTTTCCCTCATTTTCTTGCCCTTTTTCCTTCTCTTTGCCTCTGCAAAATAGAAAGGGACAAAAGAATAATTCTGAAATAAAATGCAAAGATTGTAATTCCTTCAGTGGCCTGTTCTGTGAGGTTACAGTCACAGTATTTCCCCTAAACTAGCACTTCCTAGGGCTATTGATGTTAAACCAGGCAACTATCAAGTCTCTTTCAGGCTTAGACCTAGAAAACAGTAGTTATTTTGAATCCATGCCTTTTTTTTTTTAAATCAAAACTCCTTGCTCTTTACTACTGCATTTTGATTGGCAATAAAAGAACAAGACAGATTTTTCAGATATTCTGGAGTATAATTGGTAGTTTTGGGAAGTCAGTTGAATGTGGCAGAAAAAGCAACGAGAGTGGCTAAAGAAAGTGCCTGGAATAATAAAAGGAAAACTTCCTGGGGTAGTCAGAGGAAATTCTAATACATGAATATATTGATGGAGGTTTGATCAGGAAACAGAAATCACATTAGGTATTTTAACTGATGAATTTAATTTAGTTAGTTACACTGGTTTTAGAGGCTGGAATAATTAAAGGATATTCTAGGAATATAATTGAAGGAAGCGCTACTATCCCTAGATCTGAGAGAAATAAATGGAAGCAGTTTCTGCTATCAGAACCTAGAAGCTCAGAGAAGGGGTTCTGTGGTCTGAGACTTATATCCCTGAGTGAGAATACTGGCTGCTACTGGTTTTGTGGGTGCAAGAGAAGCAGGATGCTGGAACCAGCTGCTGCTAGGATGATGCTGACAGGAATGGCAAACAGATTGTTAAGAAATCCTGTGTTGCCACTCACAGATGTATAACAAGGAAGCCCATTAGGAAAGGAGGAATGCAATTTGCAGATTTTTCACAGAGGCTCTTTGAAAAAAAAAAAAAAAAAAAGGCGAGCCTGTTTCTGACACAGCACAATTCTATAGAGACTAGAGGCATTATTGCTGATGGGGTAGATAATGCATTTAGAACCGAGGCAGTTCAATTTGAGACGTTTGTAAGGAGTGCAGATAGAATGCAGGCAGCTGGATATTTGTATATGTCTCTAGCATAGAGGAAATACTTTTATTAAAGATCCAGATTTCACTCATTCATTTATTTAATATCCCACTGATATATAGATAATAGTAGACCCAAGTACTGGTTAAAAGTATGTAGATAAATTAAGAAATTGAGGGAAAAAAGTGAAGGATATAAATCCTATGATATCCATTTGTGAAGGCAATCTAAAGAGGCTCAGGATACTTACCGCTTACCAGATGTTTGACCTTGGCTGCTTAGCCTCTTTGTACCTCAATTTCCTTTTTTGTAAAATTAGGATAATAATATTTGCTTCATAGTATTGTTATGAGGATTAAGAGAATCAATTGCAGATACTTAGAATAATGCCAAGCACATTGTAAGTGTCCTAATCAGTATTAGTTTTTATTGTAGTTATAGCAATGCCTTTAAAAAATAAAGAATTGGAATGAATATATTTACACTGAGTCTCTACAACACAGATTATTTTTGTTGCTTTTTGCCTGTGTGTATAGCTGCTCAGGCTGTGCACCACACAACTCCACAAATGCCATTTGCATAATGGTACATTGCAATGAGGCAGCGGAAGTAATTCACCACTTGATAAAGTATAAAGCTTATTTTCTACTTAAATGAATACTAAATGTTATTCAAGACTCCTGGAATTATGCCAGTTGCTTTTTGATTTATAGTGAGAGAATCAATGGTAGGATCAATCATAAAGAGGAATGAGATCAAAAGCATTCACATACATAAGCTTTAAGGTTAATTTAGAGAGTTTCAATAAAATGCAGTAAGGCATGATTAGAGTGTTAATTCAGCTTTTGCAATAGAAAAATGTATAATACAAGGTTATGCAGTTACTGACAACTCAGTAAGTAAACAGTACCTAAGTTGGAAAACTCATAGTTCAAAAACGCAAGGTAGGATTAGTGGGTTGATAGTGAATTTTAATACACTGGATAAAAATTTAGATATTTTATAACTCAGTCTATTTTTATACTCTACCATCTTACAAAATAAATAGCTAGATATATTTTTATAGTGAAATTCATGTTTTAACATATTGTCATAATTAAAAGCTATGCCTCCATTACTCAATTATTGTGACTTTTATATCTTATATAGAGAGACATGTAAAAAATCTAAAAGGAAATAGCCATAATTGATATATTTTGCACATAAGAGAATTCTGAAAGCTTCTACTTATTAACTTGTTCATTTATGGAGTACAATCCATTCAAAAATATCTTTTTTAGATTTTCTCATTTCAAATTCATCTTTAGTCACTTAATATAAATCTCTTTTATTCCAGCTTATTTGGGGTGGGGTATATTTGACTTTTTAGTATGATTCAACTTGTCTAGAAATGTATGAATATGTATGATAGAAATGTATGATATGATATACAGGAGACATAGAGTATGGTTGCAAGGTATGTCACAACTAATTTTACCTGTGAATGTTTTACTTTTATTCAAATGAAATATTAAAAATAAGGACAAATTTGGAGTCATATGATTAAAAATAATGTCTACATTCTTGCCATTATTTGCCTTAAATGAGATAATTTTATAAACACCTTAGTTAAACAGTAAGAAATCAAAATAACAGAGTATACAGTCTTCAAAAAGAGGACAGCAAGGTCAAAGTGCAACCCTTCTCTTTTTTTCCTCCTCTGGAGAGTGAGCCAGCAATGTCACTTCTTGAGGCCTCATCCTCAGTGAAGAAATTCTTTTAAAAATGCCTTAAAACTTGAAGCTGTTCAATCGTAATATAAATGTCTTGATAAATTTCTGCTATGCAGAGTCTAGAGATAAGGTTAATTTGCCATCTAGTATAACTGGGAGCACAGACGAGTGGTTAGCGTTGTTTTACTTCACTTACCACATTATATATGTACATAAAATAGCTAATATCAAGTAAGTATTCAGCATTATCTGCTATTTTTATTGAACCTTTATTCAATATACATTAAACTTTGAATACTATATTTTATAAACAATGGATATGTTTTTCAACTGGAAGATTTCTATATATGTTTCTGAGTTTATGTTTTACAAATTGCCATTAAATTCTTTTTTTAACTTTCCTGATGCTTATCTCATTTTCCCTATCATAATTTTATACAGAGATTAAATGATCAATGAATTAACTTGTTAAGACATCTTGTAAAATGAAGAATAAAGTTAATGAGGGGAATGTCTGTATTGACAGCAACCTCAAATAATATAATTATAATATAAAATATTAGATATATTTTCCTATTTATCTACTTTAGATGCCCAGAAAATTACTCTTTAGCTTGTATTATAGGTCAAATATGCGGAATGATAGATTTAGAGCCAACTGAATATGAAAAGGAGGATTAAATAAGACTATATTTTGAAATGATTTTTCCTTTAATGTAATATGAAAATTGCACCCAATGTATGTTATACAACTTTTTCTTTACAAACACCAATCTCAATATACTACATCATTTTTATTGCAATTAGAGAAAACTGTGACTTCTTTCCATATTTTTATAGTTAAAGCAGCATTATTGTATTTCATCAAAACTAGTACCAGTGTCTTTTGAGAATAGAGTCTATAAATGCAAGAAACAAAGCTAAATAAAATTACCCATGGTTGATATTGGAAGGAAAAAAAGGAAAGGCTGGCTTTCATTCAACTTGACTTACATGATGAGATTAAACAATAACACATTTGAAGGTATAAGTGAAGCTTGGTGAAATTCTTATTGCTAGAATGTCAACTTGATTGGTATAATCGTTATCTATGTATAAATACAGAGTTTCAGAGAGCTACAACACTTGGCTTAGTGATCTGAGAATCCAAATTAGAGTGCCTAGACTGCCTGGAGCCACAGGTTTAAATCCTGTCAACCAACCCCTTCCTTTTTCTGAAGCAGATAAACTAGGTCCAAAAAGCCAGCTCTTTGTGTGAAGTGGGGATATTTCAATGACACCTCCAAATCATAGCCTGGCTATATTTTACAGATATTTAAGATTATTTTGTCTGTTTGTTCAATAGCACAACTTTGTATTTGCAACAATTCTGGGACTCAGAACAAAACACCAGGTACGCCTATAACCACCTGCTCTCAATAGGGTATTTAAAATTCTTAAATATTTTTATTTGTTTCATTGACACTGGAATTTTTTAGAGGAGATAAAGATAAAAGGAATAATTTTGTACAAACTCCAGGAAGATGACCTTTGATAATAAGATATTTATAAACTACTTTGATCATCCAGTTAACAGTTGAAAGGGAAAAATAAAGCATCAATTGGGAATATACAGTGGAACTCCTAGGTCAGAAAGCAAATGAGATTCAATGAAATACCAAAGCTATGGTACTCAGGGGAGCTTTAATCACTCAGACATCTGTTAGGCAGCTAATGCAACCAGGCACGCACACCTCATTAAAGGTAGTCCTCAGTTATTCAGATGACAACGTAATGGTCCTGAATAGTAAGAAGAATTTAACCAGTGGGCTAAAATGTCTTGATTTACTTTTTCAAAAAAATCTGAGGGTGAAAACAAATATAACAAAATTTGCCTTTTTTCAGAAGAAAAGCAAGAATATTGTTCAAGTAAAATAGCATACTTTATTTCAAGAAAGTAAAGTGTTCAATAACTTTATTAAAAAGGTAAGTTAGGTTATGAAGAGAATTAATAAAGAATAACAAGAACGAGGTCAGACAATCTATACACTTCCCATGTGACTTGATGAAAAGAAACTAAAAATTCCCTTCAAGAGTTACAAATAAAAATGACAAAATAGATAGGTAGATGAATAAGATTCTTTTCTGGTAAGAAAAGATTTATTACAAATCGTTTTTTTCCTACATAATCTTTATTATTTTTCTTAGCTAAAATAATTAGCGGTGTTTTTTTAAAAAAAAGTTATTAAATAAGGAAGGTATTTTAAACAAGTACCAGAGGATTTAGAAGCTTCTAAATTGTGTCTCATGTACTGAGTTTACTGAAAGCATTGATAAACCTTGAAGTTAATCCGCCTGCTTTGGAATAACTTACATGCCAATTAATCATCATCGCAATGAACAAAATCTACTGAAAATATTACCTTTTTGTGGACAATATGTCATATTTAATTCATAATCATAAACAATATTTTCACAGCTCTCTTGATGAGATCACTTACAGAATTCTTTGACTAAGTACAAGACACTTTCAGGAAGCAAAAATTTTCTCTCTAATCCTCTCTCAGCTATGGATGAGAACAGAACAGAAAGACAAGGACACAATTCAGGAGAATATCTGCAAGAAAGGAGCAAGAAAATCTTTTCTTGATGACTCATTGCTCACTTTATGCCAAAATATTTGAGAAACAAGATGTTTATTTTAGAAACTAAGGACTGTTTATGATGGACAAATATTCCTTTTCTCTCCAGAAAAAGGTTTCAAATATATAGCAGCAACAGCTGCTCTCTCTGAATTCCAAAAGGTAGCTGGAATTCAGGCTATAATTACATATAATGGACATTAATTTGCCTGTCTAGATTTTTCAGTTTGCAATATCTTAGGAATTTGCAGGTGTCACAACTTTGACATATTCAGCCACTGAAAGCTCTATTAGCTGTCAAGACTGCTGACTTCTCATATAAAATAGTTCCAATAGGCCCCTGAGGTATATCACTAAATAGCTGGCAAGTGCTTACAAGGTAGCCACCAGATTGTTAAGACAGTGAAGAATGTCACAGCAATTGCAAAGGACAATTCTCTAAACTATAGATTCCAACAGCAGTGCTCAAAAGAATTCTAGTTTGTAATAAAGACATTGGGAATTCATGTGTTTGTCCCTTAATGTCCTAAAAAAATAATTTGGTTACTATTTTGAAAGCTGTCTGGCATTTAGTCTTTTACACAATTTACTGCCCCATTAAATTGTAAGAACTCAAGGGCAAGGAGTAAGCTTTATACTGTGTTGACTATATTTATGAACCAAATATTAAAATACACAGGTCTCATATGGGAACAAAATATTTTAATTTGACATGTCTTGGAAATTTGAGAATGTACGGTGATTGAGATTACACATTTTTTAATTCCTTATGACTCCTAGAACCCTGTCTGTCCTCCATATAAATATTAGTTTAAAAATATTATTGAATGAATGACTGAAGTCATCAAGATGATAATTAAAGCTGTAATTCATTTAATATAAATTATAGTGTTTTTTCAAGTTCAGGACTATGATCCCTGTGCACAATTTAGAAGTTTTGTTTTTTTTTTTCTGGGTTTCTGAATGTTAAATCAGAAGCTGCTGGCATAAAATAGTTTATTCAACATTTTTGTGTCATTCTATGAAAATGAATTAAACTAAAAAGTTAAAGATAAAAATATGCATTTAACATAAGTTTCAACAGGTGCATAATCATATAAGAAAATATTTAAATTGTTCCAACCTCACTGAAATATTGTAACAAAGAGCAAAATTATAAAATAGTATATTATCCTATTAAGATAGCTTAGATTAAAATCTACAATATGCTTGGGCAAAAGGATATAGATTTTTCGATTTTACATGAAATAAACCATAGTTATCTTTATTTAATATTTAGTTATATAAAATTGGAAAAATAGTGATTGATTTTTTTTTTACTCAAACATTGTCTATTTAACAGTTTCTACTTTAACTTTTTTCTTGATTCTTATATTAATTGGGAGATACAGAATAGCTTTTAAATCTGTTATGTCTACACAATGCTCAAATGATTAGTTTGAGTATTTTTATTAATTAATGTTTTTCAGTAGTGAAAAATAAATGGGTAGATCAATTAAACAGTCAGTGCAGCTGGAACATTCCAAGAGCCATACAATAACATTGTGTAAATTTTACTGCACTCACAGAGTTACCTAAGTTGTAAGTAAATATTTCAGTGAATTTCTACTTCAATAGTTCTTTTCTTTTAACATAAGAAAACCTCTATGTTCTGCTTTGTTTTTCATTAAATGACAATATATTTTTAAAAGCATTTTATCTTCTGAGTATTTTAGGTTTTGATTCTCAAAACAACTTACTGGAATAAATGTTGTAAACTTATATCCATTATTTGCTAATGTTCCATATTGGAAAATAAAATTATCAGATTAAAAAATAATTGTTTAAGCATCTGTATTTGCATGTATGTATTTGCATGTCTGTATTTGTGAGTCCTGTGGAAAGAAAAAAAAACTACTTTGTACCAGGGCTTCAGTTTTTATTTAATGTAAAGAAAGAATTGGTAGGTCTTAATTGTCATTACTTAATATCTGACTATTAAAAAACTGTTCAGTATAACAATGAAGTTGATGTTCTTTTTCTTCTGCGAGATAAATAAGCTGTAATTTTAAGTTCATTTGTAGAAATATAAAGCTTTTAAAAGTGCAGCTTTTGCTTTCATAGCTTAACAATTTTCCCCAGTTTTACCTTTGAATGTATACTTGTACTCTAAATCTTTGTTACAATGCCTGTCACCCGCCCCCCGCCCCCCCACTTCACTGTGCTGGTTATAAAGTTATTATTTTGCAGCTTCCTTCTGTACTTTGCTGTGTGAGGCTGAGTGTGGGACTCTGAGAAACACATTTTTCAATTACCAGGTGGCTCCATGTTAGGTTTTACTAGAGGGAGATGGGAAATCTGGGAGAGAAAAGGGATTTTACTCCTGTTGTTTGCTTCCCGATCCCATCAGCGTTGCTTCAGCAATAGTTCTTTACCCTTTTCTGGTTCTTTACTTTAGTGTCACACTCCCAGAACTAGCCTCATTGAGTCCCTTTGGAAATACAGCAACAATTGGCTGGCTCCCTGGCCACAGAGTTCTGTCTCAATCGCACAGGGGCTCTCATCTGAGCTCTTGAAGCACAAGCACCAGCTGAGTAGTGTTCTCCTCTCAAGCATCTGGGCCCCAGCACCACAGACAAGGCCTCTCCTTCAAGTTCTAGTCTGCAGTCCAAATTCCACCATTTCCCTTTGTTTTCCCAGCCCTTGTAGTGGTAACTGTTTTCTTCATTTGCTATATCTGTGATACCTCAATATTCTCCATTTGCCTTTTTAGTTGTCTAATACCTGAAAACTATTTTTATATTTAATTTTTTCTCTATTAAATTATCTAGTGTGTGTTTTCCTGGCCAGAATCCTGACTGACATCCTCACTACTCATCCTCACCCATCATTTAGTGATCTTTCTTAAGCATAAGGCAATGTAAAAGGTTAAATCTAATGTAAAGTATACCTCAATAGTTTTATGAAAGTCACTTTCGAAAGTCATTTAATTGAAAGTCTGCGTTGATGTGTTATTTCAGTTTGACTACATCATACCTAATTGTGAATCAAGTAATTACAAAAATATAGAGCTGGAATACATGTTAAACATCATCTGGCCCCGTGCTAATATGGAAAAGCACCTGGAAGTCATAGTGTTCTTTGGAGATTTTCATAGCCATAACAACAGACCATGAAATACTGATATATTTAATTATCTCATATGAAGTGGAAACACTTTTACCAGCAGAAATATGACTCTATTATAACTCTGCAAAAGGAATTATATCCTACGGTACAAAAAAGGCAAGATGGTGGTGTAGGATGATTCACCACTTCCAATTACTTCCATTAATACTACTTAAAAACTGATTCATATGTGCTGTAGTTTGCTGGTGTTTATTAACTGGTAAGTAGTAACAAAAGTCTAAGAACCATGACTGAGAAAAAATCCTATATCCAGGATGTCAAGAACCCATTCCAGACTTAAACCATTCCCACAGTTAGTTTCCCCCTTTTCTTTATACTTTTGACCTTTTGAAGGTATCTTTTAAAATTGCACATATTTACATACCTGTTAAAATCCCACAAACTTTGAGTTCTTCAAGGGCAGAAGTGGATTTTTTTTCTCTCTCAGTATCTCTAGTGCCAAGAAAAACATTGAAAAACAGAAAAATATTAGCAATATTATCTGAATTAAAATATTTTCTGGATGTTAGGCCCCTTCAGAATAAGTCATTCACATTATATTTTTACTCATGAGCCATTATCAGCATGTGTCATCATGCCTAACATAGATTCAAGTAAAATGTCTGTTTTCCCTTTTTGTTACAACAGAAACAATATTAAGCACGGGGAAAAGCCTGTCTATCTTAAGGTTTCTATCTCTTCCTCAAATATAGACATTTGAAGCTGTCCGGTTTATTCACCTTCTCCACAATGAGATATAGAAGATTGAGGATTGTCTTTGATGTGGTTACTTTCAAAACCATGAACCCAGGAACACTGCCAGTTTAAACATTTTATCTGTTGCTATACAATAAAAGCAAATTTACTTTACTCAGTTAAAGGGGTATCAGGATTCAGATATCAGAAAGAAGAGAAACAAGAATCACTAAGGCTATTTGCTTACAAGGCAAATGTGACTAACCACTCAACAGTGACTGGCAGTCAGTAATGGAAAGAGCTTTCCTTCTCTCTCCTAATTCATGGGTGGTTAGATCCTCGCTTCTTTTTTTTTTTTTTTTTTTTTTTTTTTTGAGACGGAATCTCGCTCTGTCGCCCAAGCTGGACTGCAGTGGCACCATCTCTGCTCACTGCAAGCTCCGCCTCCCTGGTTCATGCCATTCTCCTGCCTCAGCCTTCCGAGTAGCTGGGACTACAGGCGCCTGCTAGCACGCCCGGCTAATTTTTATTTTTTATTTTTTGTCTTTTTAGTAGAGACGGGGTTTCACCGTGTTAGCCAGGATGGTCTCCATCTCCTGACCTTGTGATCCGCCCGCCTCGGCCTCCCAAAGTGCTGGGATTACAGGCGTGAGCCACCGCTCCCGGCCTAGATCCTTGCTTCTTTAAGAAGTTCAGAGACATAGATCCTTCCAACCTGGGAACTGATGAACAGGGAAATCTTTTACTTGCCCTACCCAACCACGAGGCTCTGATGTGCTTGTTTAGTGATGAAATTCATTTTCTTTAAGCCAACTTCTCTTCACTTCTCTGTCTAGACTAAGTATATATCTTAAGTTTCAAATGCTGACATTTTTTGTGACTTAAAATATATATTCAGCAATTCATTATTATCCAGTGTACCAAGACGTATTCCTATTATGATGAACTTTTATTACTAAAAATAGACTCTTCTTGAGTAAACATTAATGTATTAATATTAACATTGCTCATTTGCTTTTATAAACTACCAATATACTTATAATAGCTTTTAAACAGCACATTGAATCATTTAGTAAAGTTGATATTGGATATGAGTTTGGTGTCTAGATATTAGTAGAATAAGGAGTAAGCCATCATGCTTAAAAGAGAGAAGCCAGCCAGATTTCTGAGTCTGAGGTAATATCTGAACTTCATATTTTTATAATGACATCAGCAGATATTGAAACATGAAAAGTGTATGCATATGAAGTAACTTTGCTGTGAACTCCTATAGGCAGAGATTATATATCTTATTCTCAGTGTTATTCCACCACATTCATAAGCCCCAAGCATAGTGACTTATACACAGCAGTTCTCCACCAATAATAATACTTTAGTTTAAATAAGATAAGGCATATTGTCATAATCTGAATGGGAGGAAAAAATGATCTCACCTAAAATCAGATGAAAGAAAGACTGAATATTTTCATTTAGGATGAGTATATGTGTGTTTATAGTGGTGAAGAGCAATAATTTGAAAACCATGCTAAAATCATGCTTACCTCAACAAAATTAAATTTTTGTGTTTGCCAAACATAAGAAGGCCTGAAGAATAAATTATGGGTTTTTAATTTCCTTTTGTTGGGGAGGGGGATTTAAAGAGCTAGGCAATAGTATGCAGGGGAAGCTGTCTCAAAGCTCATTCAGCAACTCTGTGATCAATTCTGGTCATCTCTGATTGCAGTACAACACGAATGGAAATGCTGCTCATGGGCTTGTCAAGGCTATTGTGGGTATACGTTTGCCGCGTAGGATACCTTGTCATATAGCAAGTTGTTCATTTTAGATGATACATATGCTAAATTAAATCAAGATGTTTCTTACCAGCAAGCACAAAACAACACTTGACAGATTTCCAAATTCAGGTGCTTATAAAAACAAATCTGAGAGGCAACATTAATTTTAAACCCTACTGAGTTACATGCGGCACTTGCAAATTATGGAAATACTTTAAGCTTTATAGCCTTACAAAATGGAAAGTGATCGGGTCTTTGGGCATGGGTTCTTAAGAGGATTTTCCAAATAGTTCTACACTGGAAAATAGAATCCATGTGCTCCTGTTTACCTGAATATGTTCCAAACAAAATCTCAATGTTTATATAAAAAATTCAAAATACAGTGATTTAATGTCTAGCCAACACAAATAACATCTGTGGTAAGACTGCCTATTTATATTCAATTTACACAAAATCATTAAAAATAAAATAGTGAATTAATCTCATCATTTCATAATATGCCAATATGTGAGAAAATTTTGATTGTTATTAAAAGACCTAGAAGTTATTGTTGTTTAGAATCCAAAATTTAATTCTGAAAATGGCAAAAAGGCAAAAATGCCCTGAGTGTTTTTTTAACTGAAAATAGAATGAAGATATTAAATATAAAGAAACTTGTGAATTCAAAAGTAGAAGACGTAGTTTCTAAATCCGAGTCTTGCATTAAGTCAGTTTAGTCCTAATGCAAAAATGGTGAAGAAAACAAAGGTTTTTTTTCCTTTATAAAAGACATATTATTATATACAGAAAAAAGAAATATATAAGTAAGAAATAAATAATGTTGGCAAAGCAAAAATCAGGTTGTTGAGATAGTGCATAATGAGGTGATAGAGTTGGGAACTATGTTAGAAAGGGCCATAGAAAAAGTCCTTTTAAGCATACATTTCTGTTAAGAAGTGAAAGATGGAGCTTAAAGAACTTAACCAGAGCTATAATTTACAGGGGAACATTTCCAATAACTATTTCACTATTTAACTAGCTCAACCAGGAATCATCCTGTGGAATTTCCTGCGAAGTACTTACGTGTGAAATATCATAAAGTCTTCCATTAATTTTCTAAGGATTTTCAGCTAATGAAAATATACATGTAAATAGAGAGGAAGAGAAAACTGAAGAGAAAGTGACTTTATAAATTGTTAACTATTGATGATTGTAGTTGAACGGTGTATTCATGAGTGTTGTACTATTTTTTAAATTTTTCCATCAATTTGATTTTTTTCCAAATAAAAACTTGAGGGTATAGGAACTTATTTTTAAAAGAAACACGGAAATTAAATCCATCTATACACTAATTGCCAATAATTATATCAATTGTTTTTTAGAGTAGGTTTTCTATGAAATTCTTCATGACAGACTTCTGTTTTAGGAAAAAAATGCAAATAGTCCTATGTTCAGCAACATAACACATTTCATGTTATCCAGATAACAGTATAGCAAATAGTTAAAATAGAAGAGATAGCCAGAATAATGAGTCTGCCTAATATCTGAAGCAGACGATTTTGACCCTGTTTTGATCCTTCTCTGGCAACGTTGTCTGACATACTCCACAATTTCAACCACAACTCTACCGTTCTCTTTTCTTTTTTACCTTGCTAGTGCTTCAGTTACAATTCTGGCTTCTGCACATTTGAATTAGCTGCTTTTCCTTTCCTTATCTTACTTTTCATGGCTTTGTTTCTCTTTCCCATCTTGACTTTATCTCCCCTTTGCTCTCTTTAGCATAGCATACACGAGCCTGCAAAATCTGGTTGTCTTTTGCCAAACTCATTTCTTCTAGAAACTTCTTTTTTGCTCTTTACTGTAGCCATCCTAAATTACAATAAAGGTTCTCTAAGTGCAGGATGGTTCACACTTCCATGACTTTGTTGAAATCACTTGTATTTCAAATGACCCACTCTACGAATCTATCTGTACACTACCTCTACACAACTCATTACTTAAGATTAATTTTGAAGATTTTCCATTAGTCTCCCATTCTGTTTCAGAGCTATCTATCTCATGCTTCCAAAAATGTTCAATAACAGTTTATCTACATGGATCTTTCTATTTCAGAATAAAAATGGTTTTAAATTATAGACCTTGTGTAATTCATCACACATGCACAGCACTAAACACCCTGGGTGTCATAATAGAGCCACTGAATAAATGTTTGTTGACATGATGAATGCATTCAATATGAAGGACTAAAATTATCTGTTAATCTTCAACATTACTGTGTTAATGTAGGTGTATGCTTATTTGGAAAAATGGTTTCAATATATGGCATTCATTTAAAAATATTTCTTCAAAATCTACCATGTACTGCTTTAGAGTTAGTCACTAACTATAAAGAGATGCCAAAAAGCTCATGTCATCAAAGAGGACAATGTAAAGAAGCAAAGATAGACAAATGAAAATTATTTTGATTAATAAGTGCTTTGAGAAGATATGCAAAGAATGCTACTAGGTCAAAGGAGAAGGCCCCTGCCTTAGGCTAGAGTTAGAAGAGGAATGTAAATGATATCTCCATTGAGAAAGTGATGCAAATTCTGATTCTTAGAATGAGTAAGAATTACCAAAATACAATGGGTAATAAGCAGATTTAAATAGAAAATGGCCTTCTTATATTTTCACTAGTGGAAGATGACACAGACCCAGTAAGAAGCCAATGGATAAAAGAAAAAACACTATTAGTGTATTGACCAGGGGCAAGAGAAAGCTTGAGGATTTGAACTAATGTAGTGTCAGTAGCAAGGGAGAATGAAAATTTGTTTATAAGAAATTCAGAAAATAGGTTGGGAAGGTTGTGGTGTATGGCTGTTAAGGAGTAAAAAAAAAAATCAAAATAAAGAAATAAAGAGGACTCTTTAGTTTCTGTTATGTACAGGAAAGTGTCTGTTTATGCCATTTATTCTGTTAAGTGAAAAAAAGGTAGGCTAAGAAGCAGGTGCGCAGAGGTAGAGGGTTTATTTTGAATATGTTGAATTGTTAATGCCAGTGGACAGTAAAATGCTATCTCCAAGCCTCGAGCAATAATTTATGCTTGAAACACATTTTGAGACCCTCAGTGTATGAGTGTTTATGAGTTCTGTTTTTGTGGATGACATCACCAAGGGAGAGTACTAAAGTGATCAAAGGAGGGTCCCTGGAAAACTTCAACACATAAGGAGTAAATGTAGGAAAGTTATAATGAGTGTCCATAAAGATGGATGTAAAACATCCATAGAGTAGGCTAATCTCTAAGGGGAACAAAAAGAGATTTAAAGAGGTTTTAGAGTATAGTTTCAAATGTCCCATTGGAACCACTTGTCATAAAGCAAGCTTGTCTAAATACTAATTAAATAATACCTTTATTCATTTAAAAGTTATCTCTCATTGTATATTCTTATTTCTGCAAACAGTTGGTTAAGTCAATTCATTTTTATTTTTTGTGTTGGTGTTAATGAACACATTTTAATCTGAATTTACCCATCAAGCTGTCTACTACTCAGAGTGCTACCCAAAAGGCTATCCACCAAGTGGTTAATAGTGAGGTTTTCTGTTTGCTTCTTTGTTTTATTTTGTTCTCCAAGTTGTAGTATTGTTTTTTAACTTTTATGTTGCTTAAGTTTCCTTTTTACAATGAGTTTGTATTACAAAGAGAAGTAAGAAAGTTGAGAAAATAAATGTTTTATAAAAATATACAAAAATAGGAAAGAGAATTTTTGGATTTTTTAAAAATAATATAGACATACATTCAATATAAAAAATACATTTTGTGGTGATTCTATATACAGTATCAAATAGTTCAGTTTTCCAAACTAGATCATCCATTTTCTAAATGGTACGCTGTTCTTTTTTTTAAATGGAGATACAGTTAGCCAGCAAAAAAATGTCTTAACTGTTCAATATTTTGATCAATATGTAACGAACATTCTCATGAAAATATTGAGCATGAATTACAAGCCCCCAGAAAGTAGACTCATGTCATTATCATAACTACTAAGACATAGATTAGTTGTTTTTTTTTTTTTGTATTTAGAGGAATGAAATCACTCTGTACTCTTTTGCATCTGGCTTCATTTATTTACGTAATATTTTGAGATTTTTCCTATTGTTGAGTGTTCAGCGATTTATTCCTTTTGTTGTTGTTTTAACTTCTCAGTATATTAGATAATACGGCTGTATCAAAATTTGTTTATCTTTTCTTTTGTTGATGGGCATTTGGAAAGTTTCCAACTGAGGGCTATTATGAATAAAGCTATGAACTTACTTGTGCAAGTTTTTGTGTGGCTATATTTTCATCCCTTTTAGGTAAATACCAAAAGTTGAATTGCCTGGTTATATGGCAGATGTATACTCAATTTTAAATAAAAATTGTTGGCAGTTCTCCAGAGTAATTCATAGGCTTAGTTTCTCACCAACAATATGAAAGTTACTGGAATTCTCATCAATATGTTATTGTCAGTCATTTTTATTTGTCATTTTACTGGGTTTGTAGTGATATTATATTGTGATTTTAATATGTACTTCCCTAATGGCTAATAATGGTGAACAACTTCTCATGTGCTTATTGCCCACTTGTATCTTATGTTTATAAAGTATGTATTCAAGTCTTTTGACCATTTTGGAGACTGTTAAATTGTTTATTGCTAATTCATGGGAGTTCTTTATGTATTCTGTACACAAGTTCTTTGTCTGATCTATGTGATTATTTTCCCAAGTCCGTCACTTGTTTATTCATTTCCTTAATGACATCTTTCTATGGTTGAAAAAAATTTAATTTTAATAAATTCCAGTTTATATTTTTTCTTTTATGATTTGTGCTTCTTGTGTTCTGTCAATAAATATTCTCTTAGCATAAAGCTATGAAGATATTCTTTTGTGTTTCTGATAGTTTTATGGTTTGGGATTTATGTATAGATCAACAATTTATCTCAAGTTTGGGGGTATAGACTGCAATAATCATTTTCCCTACATAAATATCCAGTTGTTCAGCCGCATTTTTTAAAAAAACTGTCATTTCTCCATTGAGGTTTTTTTTTTTTTTTTGGCATCTTTCATGAAAAACCTTTGACCCCATATATATGTTTTTCGATGCTAGTATTAAAGCAATTTAAATTTTTTTGTTTATTCCTAGTAGATATCACAAAATAAGCGTACCTTATGTTGATCTTGTATCCTGTGTCTTCTTAACTTTATTTATTATCTGTAATAGTTTATTATTTGCAATAATAGTGTTATTTGTAATAGATACGTACATGGGTACATGGATAGATACATAGATAGATGATAGATTTATTTCAAAACTCTTTAGTTTGCTACACTGATGTATTTGCTTACCTGTGTGCCAAGATCACATTGTCTGTATTGTAGCTTTATAGTGAACCTTTAATTCAGGTGGTATATTTTATAATTACATTATTTATAAGATATATATAAAATAATTCATTATTCTTTTTCAGGATGTGGCTATTTTAGATACTTTCACCTACATGTAATTTTAGAATTGTCTATTTCTTCAAAGGAGCCTCTTGAAATTTTAATCAGGAATATGGCTAAATGTATGAATCAATTTAGAGGGAATCAAAATAATAATACAGAATCTTCCAACCCATGAATATGGCTTATCTTTGTTTTTATTTATGTATTTAATTTATTTTCACATTGTTCACAGAGTCAGTATTGAGGTCTTATTTAGTTTTTATTAGTCATTCCTCATCATCAGATGTTTCTTCATGCTACTATTAAAGCATATTTTAAAATAATTTTTTGTTTATTGCTATTAGATATAACAAAATAACTGTACCTTATGTTAATCTTGTACCTCATGGCTTCTTAACTTCATTTATTATTTGTAATAGTTTATATATTTTTAAAGATTTTCTATGTGTAAGTCATAACATCTGTAATCAATGAAAATTTACTTCTCTTAATTCTTTATTTCTAATTTTTGCCTAATTGCAAGTGTAACAAATATCCTTGCATTATTTATAGCCAATGATAAATATTTAATATTTCACAATTAATTACGATGTTAAAATTTTTTCTCATATTTGCCCTTAATTAGAAGGAGGAAGTTCTTTTACATTTTGAATTTACTGAGATAAATTTTATATTATAAAGAGATACTGCTTCTTTAGTGAGATTAAAAATGGTGTTCTCTTTAATTCTGTTAATGAGGTTTACTATGTAGACTTTAACTGAATTTGGGGAATAGTCCCACTTGGTTATGATGATGATGTGTTATCAATTTTATATATTGTTTGATTCATTTGTAATATTTAATTAAGAATTTTTAGACATATTTATGAGGCATATTGGCCTATGATATTTTCTTGTAATATTGTTATCAAGTTCTAGTATCAGGGCCATGTTGGTCTCATAAGTTGCATAGGAAGTGCAATCATTTATATAGTTAATACATAAAATAAGTATAATTTATCAAATAATAAGCCCTTTGCAAAAAGTATCTCTATGAAAACTTCTGTAATTGTAATTCACAATTCAGAACTCCTCCAATGAACTAGTATAAGTTATTTTCAAGGTCCAAGGTTGAAATTGAATAACCACATTAACAAAACTGCAATTTCATAGGCTGCATCTTCATTGTACTCTCTTTGAATATTTGAGTGGCCGGCCCCTTTCGTGGCAATAATCTTATTAAAAAAAATAGAATATTCTGAATTTTAAAACCCACTTGGAATTGCAGATCTGTCAGCACTTAAGAGAGGCAGATACTGGTGGAGCACAAGCTCTTAAGTCAGTAAACGTAGCCCATATGAGCAATGAACATAGTCCTCTAGAGTTAATTTGAAAGGAGACCTCCCAAATCTTGCTGCCCAAGAGATGAGAGGAAAATGACAGCTCTCTTCAACAGGAGTAAGTTTATTTCAGGGAGTTGTTCAAGGTTTATCTAGAATGTGGACTTTGTTTTTTTATCACCTGCATACCAGAGATACTAAAACATTAGAGAAGACATTAAAGTTTATCTCTGGGCCAGAACCTGCCCAATACCATGAGTTAATTACTTAAAATAATAATGGGAGCACATTTGAGGCCTTTAAGCAGGAAAATGTATTCAGGAGCGTGGTCTACTCTGTCTTATGTCTCTTTAAAATGAAGTGTATTAATAATGACAGATGAAGTAGGGCTTGCAGGAGATGTGCCAGAGGTGTGGTGACAGCCTGGTATTCACAATGGATGTATTGGTGTGCTTCAGCCATCTGTTTTATATACTGCACATTTTGAAAGCTAGTAATACAGCATTTTTCCTTACATTTTATTGTATATTGTAAGACGAATGTATCTCACCAGAAATTTAAGGTGGAACAGCCGTTTATATAAATGGAATGCCAAAATTCTGAGTAAGGAGAATTTTCAGCAAGGGTTGAATCACGTCTATTAGCAGGAACAAATGTGTTACAGTTCTCTTTCCCCAGTTCTTCAATACCATGTACATAACTGATTTACTATAAATGTACATACTCAATTATTCTTCTGGTAATAAAACTCAGTTATTTGTCACTAAGTAGGACTCTCAGATTCCCTCTAGATTAGCTAATTTTAGTATATGTAAGCTACAACACGAAACAAGAGTGTAGCATCAATTATAATTAGAAAGTTGGGGTTAGACGTTTCCTAAAAATTTGCAAGTAATTCGTCACTTTAGGTAACATGACTATGGTTGTAAATTTAAGAATTGGATAAGAGGAAAGGTTTACTCAAGAAATAACTAGAAATAAGAGGGGCCTAGAGAGAGAGAGAGAGAGAGAGCAAGATTTCAGAAAGACCAAAAGTGACTAATCAGCAGAACAGATACCTTGGAGATATAAGAGAAAGGCACGCTGAGGAAACTCTACAGGGGTGTAACATAACAGAAAGAAATAGTATCATCCGCTTTCCTTTTTGTTCAAATTTACATAGTGAGTTATCAATTTTAAAAGATCCAATGAACCAAGCACACAGCCAAGGATATATTTTACCTAGAGTTTGGGGGGAAACATGACCTGAAGCTTACAAAGCAGACCTTTGGCAATAAAATAAGATAAAATAGAATATTTTAAAAATCGCACATTTAGCAAGAAGTTACAAGATCTCAAGACTCGGTTGAGTAAAATAATTTAGATAAGCAAGTTGGGAGCAAGTGTGAAGATACTGATTTGATGTTCATTATTGCACACTCTATATGTTAATTAAATTTTTTTGGATGAAAAAAGTATTTATGTAAGAAAGTTCTACATTTCAAACATTCTTAAAACTTCTAATGCCAGAGTACAGGCAAGTATAGGATATTTCTGCTTTAAAAAATTAGTAAAATAGTACATTTACTCATAATAGTTTATCATGGGCTTTATAAAGACCTGAATATTTGAATATTTTGCCACAGTTAAACATCTACCCAACCTCACCTTGTATGAAATCTGAAAAATCTAATTTATGCTAGAATATCATGTTCAATGGGAATAGATAATAGATTCCATGACTAGTCATCCTTAAAAGTTACACAGGGTACTGCATGCATAATATGAACCTAGGGGTTTCACAAAAGCCAAACTAGCTTAGTTCTTAGAACAGATATTATCATCATTTGGTCAAGTCATATATTAGATTTCAAGAGTTAATACGTTTTATGTTTTCTTTTAATCTTACAGTGCACTAATTCAGCACTTTAAAAAAGGTTAAATTTTTCAAAAGGTTAAAAACCTAACTATAAACCACCTAATGTTTTATAAAGTTAAAAACACAAATCTTATCACTATTCATACACTTTCAGCTTTCTGCAGCACATTAAAAGTGTCAAAATCAGGGCTAGGACTTTTGGGAAGAGAAGAAAGCTATATGTGTATATATTCATACACACATATATACACACATGTATATATATATGTGTGTATATACATACATGTTTATGTTTAAAGCTACATTTAGATTATACCTTGCTTTCTGAAATTTGGTTTAAACTCTGATTTGTAACCTTTCAGTACGGACTAGAATAGCACACACATACAAAAACATGGTACTATATCTGTTACTGTGGAAATATAACAATCACACATTTAACTATATGGAATCAGCAGAGATTAACAGCAAGAGCGAGCAAGGGTGCAACAGAATGAGAGAGAGAGAGACTCTCACTGCCATTATACTCAATGACTCAATGACTCAAGGACCATGTAACTTTAGTTACGTGGTCCAGGTCTACAACTACGTCAAGCCCACCTCAGCATGATGTAATGTTATTGGCAAGTGACATGTATAATCTCAATACTTTAAGAATTAAGAAATTTTTCAAAGTAATTATTTTTTCCAAACATTATTTTCATTTTAGGTACACATTGTGAAACTACACTTTTCAATCACACAAATCTGCAGTACAAACTCAATCAATTTTTTTTGAAAAATATAGTCAAGTGTTTATAATTAATTATATTATATATGTGTAAAAAATAACATATATAAATTAGACTAAAAGTACTACAGTATAAATTGAACATACTTGTCAAATAAAGTTTAGCTGGAGTAATTTATTTTTTTAATCTGCCCATTTATCTAATAATTAAAGCATAGACATCATAAATTATCAGTCACATTATTTGCAAAGGTTGTATGAGCTTAATGGATTTGCAAAAGAAATAATCAAAAGAAAGATTCCCTGGGTACACTTGGATATGTCTTATTTTGTAGTGTCTAAATGGAAATATAATTTTGCTAATTGCAAATTTTATTTTCCAATTAGAACATGAACCAACACATTTTTAAACACTGTATTAAATCTTCATTTGTTTAAGATAATCATTGTTTTGTTCTATAAATTCCCAAATAAATTCCCCGTTGCCATGGGTGGAATACATAATTGGTGATCTTTCTTTCCTTGTCTCTCCAAACCCATCCAAAAGCCTAAAGAGAAATTATTTGAATGGAGTAATGTGAATTGTAAAAAACTTCCCTAAGCTAAAATCCTTATCAAGCAACTTTAACTTTTGAGTAAAATCCAACCAATTAAGGCTATGAATGTGAATGTTATGAATCAGAATCACTGATGCAAATTTTATTTGTCCAATGCTTTAAGCATAAAAATTTTGTGAACAAAATGGGGTTTGAGAACCTTAGGCTCATACCCCAGTTTCAGTCTCATTGTGAATTTAAGGAAAATTTCAAAAGCATGTGTACAATATAGCTATTATTTCTATAAAGGCTTCATAGTTTATTTTTTTGGGAAACTGTATTTGTATTAGAATTTTAAAAATACTCATAAGCCGGTCTATCCTTCCCAATTATTTGTTTTTCAAAATGACATTTGGCGCTTGATGTACATGAGACCAAGTTTTACCTCAAAATTTTTTATCACTTACAGGAAAAAACAGTCTCTTTGTCAGGTATAGAATTGAATAAACTTTTAAAAGAGAGAGAAACTTACCAATAACGGAGTCTCTGTTATGTGTCCTTTAGTATCTTAAGCACCACCACAATATTTCTCATTCATGCTATGAGTCAAGTTATTATTATTATTTCTAGTTTACAATTATTGGAGAAATTAAGTAAATTGCAAAAGATCAAATGCTAATAAATTGGTTGAACTCAACTCATTCCTCTTTTTTTTACTAAGTCTTATTTGTTTTCCAATTAGATTAATGACTTGTAATTCAACCATTTAAAATGTGGAAAGGACTGGGTCTGTGATTTTCACTATATTTGATAATAAGAAGAAAAATCCAATAACAAAAACAACTTATATGAATTTAGTGTGCATTATATTCTAGGAACTATATTAAGTAGATTATTTTGTGAATTATTACATTCAATCATTACAAAACAACATGACATAGGTATTATTTTATAGAGGAGAAAACTGAGACTTTAGATGTAAATGAAGAAAACACAGTTTATAAATCATAGGGCACAAATTTGAACACAGATTATTCAGATTATTCTGACTCAAGAGCACACACAGGAGTGTACCACTGGCAATGAATGATGTGTTATGCTTCTGCTTATACATGCCTAAAACATCCTTATGAGCCTTGGGAATCCAACTACCGTGACCCTCAGCCATATACATGCATACAATGAGTATTAACTGGTTTAAAGTAATTTTTAAAATGTCCTGCCTTTTAAAATTCAATCCTTTTTAATGAGAGAGAGAAACTGTTAAGACTGAACATGTTAAGACTGAAGAAAATATACAGAATACATATGATAAATTCCATCAGGCCATCTTCTGATTATTGTCAATGATTCTTCATTAGAATAAAGATAGGCTTAAAAAGTATTTTTGGAAGATGCAGACTGTACAAGTTCAAAGTTTATTTTGTAATTACAAGTTTTGATAAAATAATGATCTTGCATATGTAAACTGTGAAGGGTTTTAGTTAAGGTAACATTACAAACAAAATTATTATGGTTTCATTTGTTTTTATTTTTTTACGTTTAGAATAAACACACAGTAAATCAACTTTTAAACTCACTTTCTTTTTCACTTTCTTTTTGTCAGACAGTGTTTTACATAAATTGGCATCTGTATTTTTGAGTATGCGTTAGCTCAGCTTTTTTATTTCTCAGTAACAGTACAGAGAGAATGTCTAGTTTTGTCATTCACGGTTTATTTTTAAATCTAAGATAGAGATAATAGATGCCTGAATTTTCTTTCTAAATTGTCTTTTCTTTTGAATGCATTTTGGCTTTTCAGAGTTTATGATTTCTTAAACTGGTCACATGGAAAGAAATTTGCTTATATATTTTTTTCTGATATTACGCATCTTAGGAAATACTTGAAAAGTATAAGGCCTTTGGCAAAACAAAATAAAAATATTTTCCCAGGAATTCAAGATTATTTTATTTGAAATTTAGGGATTCTAATAATTTCCATTATTATTATATTAAGATTAGTCTTTTTATCTATGAATGAATTTTTCACTTTCTTTTTACTACCACTTATTTAGTTGAGAAGTTGGTAGTTATATTAATTTTGCTATGTTCTAAATATTACATATTTTCTTCTGCCTGTTTTTAATTTTTGTTTTGTTTTGTTTTACTTTTCTTTGTCAGTTTTACTATGATGTGCATGAGGTTTTTTGGTTGACTGGTTGTTTTTGTTGCTGCATTCTTGTTTAGTGCTGGTAGTGCTCCTTGAATTTGCAGCTTGCCCACTTTTGTCAGTTTGGGAAATTTCATAACCATTGTATCTCCAAATATTGCTGCTGCCCTTAGTTTTTATTCTCCTTCTAGGACTATATGTGTTGGACCATGTGTGTTTCTTAGAATCTTGTGTGTGTGCTGTGTATAGCTCTTTCTCTTTCTGCACTTCAGGCTGTAAAATTTTCACCAATCTTTTATTCAGAGGCGTCCTCATCAATATTATGTTTCTGTTCTTAAACTACCCATTATGTTCTAATATAAAAATTAATAATTTATATATATTCTTATTCTCTTCAATATATTTTTGTAATTTCCATTTCTGTAGCAAAATTATGTATTTTGTCATTGAATTCCTTGATGTTTATTCGAAAAATCATGTAAGATAATTTCAATATCCAAGCTTCTTATGGTCTGTTTCTTGCATATATTTTTAACTTGACTTTCGTCAAATCTTGTGTTTTGCATGGTAATTAATGTGGGGGCAAACATGGTAGATTTAATAAAAGGTAGTGATCATCTGGTCCTCTAGATTATGATATTTTTTTCCCAAGTATGTTTATGTTTGCTTCTAGCAGGCATGTCAGTAAGAGTTGAGCACCTTAATCCACTCAAATATTGGACTTGGAGATGGGCTTTAGTCTCTGTGAATGTGTGTGTCCCTTCATGATCCTTACTGAAATCCTTGGATGTTTTTTTTTTCCTTGGCATGATCTGTGTTATAATGTTTATTTATATAAGCCCATGAATTTGATGTAAGATTTACTCATTTTATCAATATCTCAATAATCTCCTTCCAACTGGCAAATGCCTGAAGGGGGACAGTTGCACCAAATATTAAGTTCACCTCTCTCATCTCTTCTTCTCTGACAACTAGGCTCTGTGTATCCTTACTGCTTTGGTTACTGTCTGATACTATCACACACACACAAACACACACACATTTTTTTTATTTACTTATTTAACCAGTTTTCTGATTGTTCTCAGTGGGAAGGCTGGTCTTAAATGATTCACCATTTCCAAAAGCAGAGGTCTTCATTGTTGTGGCTTCATAGAAATTGCTTGTCACAGAAACTTGAATTAAGATAATTTAAGAATTCTCCATTTAGAAAGTAAAATAACTCCTTGCTTTGTAATTTCAATAAATGTGTTGTGGAAAATCAAGAGTAATAATGGACTTTCAGAGATTCCTTGAAAATGAAGTAGCTGGTGTATTTTGAACACACGCTGAAATGACAAACATTAGCAAAACTCAGGAAAAACAGATTATCATTTCTGAAAATTACCTTGATAATTAGAATATATTTGATCAATTATTTCTTTTTCTATTATTGTGAAAAATACTATATTAATCCTCGGTAGTGCTAATGAACATTATATACAAGAAATAAGCCTTGTTATCAATTTTTTAAAGTCATGATTTTAAAGTCACTAACCATTTGCACACAACTCCTGACATAATTTTATAAAGTCACTAACTAATGCAAGTATGTGGAAAAAATGTAAATATGAGCTTATCATTCCTATGATAAGCTATTCAGAAAGCCTTCTTCTAAGTAGCTTCTCATGAGACATTTTGAATAGGAACTATAGCTGTTAGAAAATATTAAACACTTTTATAGCAGCATAGGGTACATGAATTAAAAACAAATTTGTCTGTAACACTTACTACTAATACTTAGTAATACTTAATACTTACTAACAGTTGATTGCACAAATCAGTTTTAGCCACATTCTGTTTGACTAACGTCCTGAAAAATCTTGATAGAAAATGTCTTCAAAAATTGTAATGTATGAGACACTTGAGTTAAAATAATATTATGACTAAAATCAAGTACTGTGAATTGATCCTTATTTTCCTTATATCTAGACTTAGGGATGGTTAGTTTCCTGTATCTAGACTTAGGGATATTTGGTTCAAAGACCAATCCTAAAAATTCACTTCATTGAAATCTCTAAAAGTTACTTACCATGAGTGGTTTTATGAACTCTTTCTCTATATTTCTAATTTGTGATCCTTTCTTCATTAAAAAAAATTTGAAGATCAAAAAGTAGCTATAGTTATTGCTTTCCTTTCCTTCATAAGGCTTCAGTTCAAATGTGTATTCTTTTCTCACTGTAGTCTACCATGCATGCAAATGTCAGAGTAATCTTCCCTAAAACACGTCATATTATTCTATCTTTGAAATTCTAATTTCTATGTTTAAATTGAAAAAAAAATTATTTGGTTCCACTTACTGCTTTTTAATTTTACCTGTACTAAACTTCCTCAATTTAAAGCAAGACAACCTCCTATAAATTATTTATTAAGCCATTTGAAAACAATTTTTTATCTTTGCATATTTCATTCACTTTAATTTACCTCACAGCCTTTCTCCTTCTCTCTCAACATGAATGCCATCAGGAAAGTTGGGACAGTGAGAGAAGATGTAGAGGTGGAGCTAAAGTTTTGTCTTGGTTTGATATCACAGGGATACTCTAGAAACCCTGACTGTGGCCACTTCTGCCTCCAAAGAAGTATGAAGTAAAGATTACTAGAAGAAAAGTTCCTTATGTCACTACTCACTTGCTCTCACAGACTGTTAGGTGATGAAGAAAAGTAAAGATTCAAATTTCAGTGCCTATTTGTATTTTTGTACTACTGAGTTTGGAAACCAGTGGAGGTGAACTGTAAAACAATGGTGCATCATCTTTAAAAAAAACTTCAAATAACAGAGTAAAAAGTTAAATTCATCTGTATAGCAAAATGAAAATATATATATACATATATATATATATATGAGCAGATACCTGAGAACTGAGTCTTAGAAGAGAGACAGAGAGAAAGAAAGAGGGAAAAAAATGGTTGAACATGATGGCTGAGAAAAGGCATTTTTTAGAGCAATTGCTCATTTATTAATAGTTTGTTTTATTTCTGTGATGCAAAGTGTTTTGTCTCCCCAAATCTGTCACACCTACACATATCTCATACGAATGATGAGTGTTTAGGTGAAAATCCAAGAAAAGGGTTGGGAGTCCACATTAGGCTCAATGTGAAGAAAACTGAAGCCATGCAAAGACTTGAGTGGAAAACATAAATCTAACAATGAGAGGAAGGACTTGTCACCAAATTGTTAATAAATGTGTTATCTCCTGCCATAAAATAATTTAATCTAAACCTCAAGGGTGGAGTAAACCTGTATGATCCCACTTACGGTAGAAAGCCTTTCAATTATTAATACATCTGTCATTCTCTCATAATGTACAATTGTGTTGTAGCTATTCTGAATAGTTAACTTTCCACATAATATGACTACAATTGCAGAGTGCCCTATTGACTTATTTCTGCAGGCCAAAATTCTAAAATTTTATATATATATATATATATATATATATATATATATATATATATATATACTTGATGAAAACATTCTGTAGCTGGTTAATATTAAATGACAAATACTCTAGTGTATAGTAGTGAAACAAAGCAGATTTACCTGAGGCTATGCTCTTCCCAGAGGTGACCAAATCTCGTGAACATTCAAGACAGGACTTAAAGGCCTGGCTACCTCTCCAACTCAGGACACAACTGAAGTGTTATTCTAGTTTCAGTGCTTCCCCAGGTTTGGCCAAGGCTTCTGTTGGGCCTGCATTGCAGCTCAATTTCCCCCCACCCACTCCTCCTCCTCCTCCCTCTGCATTCTACAGGTCTTGATCTTAAGTATATGGCTTAATAAATCTCCTTTACACTAAACTCCATCTCAGAAAATTCCTCCCAGGAGCCCAAACTGAGAGAAATGGGAACTTCTATAAACTCCACTGTTTCTGACTAATATATTGTCAAATACAATTTGTTTGACTGTGACTATATGGAGGTGGCGCATAATTTTAAGGAGAAAGAGTTAGAGACCAAAGGGGCATAATTTTAAGGAGAAAGAGTTAGAGACCAAAGGGAAAAAGTCATACTCAGAAGAAAACAAAAAAGGGAAATAATAATGTAACATACAGCCTATTCAGTCAGAAATTAGCCTCAATAGACCAGTAAGTAAGGACTCAGTATATAAATAGGCAATACTTACCTGTTGCCTATTTACACTCCAAAATTTTCTATATAATACTTCAGTAGTATTCACCATATTTAGATGGCTATAACCATATCTGAAAATGTTATTTAACTGTGCAAGTTAGATATCCAAAAAAGGATTGTCATTCTCATTATAGGATGAAAACTATATGCAATTTACTATACACCGAATAAGCAGAAGTAGATGCAACAAATAGAAATGTACAGAGCAGTTGTACTGTCACCTTGCAGTTCCTCTTTCTTGAGGAACCGGTGACCTTGCTTAACAATGTATTCCCCCTGTTTGCATTCTACTTTAAGGACTTTGTTGATTAATTTCTTTGGGTCCCTTACTGCATTTACATGTTCCATTCTTGCGTTTACACAGTGTTTATAATAAGTTCGTCAAATCAGTACTGTCATTTTTTTTTTATTTAACATACTGCTTAAGACACATTCTGTACAGTCTAACAATTGAGTTCAAGTAGGAGATAGTGGAAGCCTCACTACCTCCACTGTGACTATCCAACCACATTGACCCTCTATTTTACTTGTACACTCAAGCAGTCTCTCTTCTGCAACAGCTGTCTTTTCCCTCGTCAGTCTGCATCCCATCTGTGTTACCTGTTTGGCTGTGTGGCTACAATGGAGAGTGGTTCAACTCCCACTTGTCAGGACTCCCTTCTGGCCTTATGAAAACACTTTACTCATTGGGATGTGTCAAGATATTTCCTGAATAAAAATATTAAACACTGTCCTCCTCCCACGCTTTGGTTTATAGCCTATGCTAATGGTAGATGTAGCTTAAACGAATTACTCAACTGTCAATGAATGACTCTAGTGGAAACTTACAAGAATGTGATTTGAGAGTCATGCTTTCTCTAATAAACTGTCCAAATAAAGTGGATCATCTTGTCACATTTGGTATATTTATTTTTCTTAAACTATTAATTTATTTTTTGAACAATGACAGTATTTATCTCATAGACATTTATAAAATATTTATAAGTAAGTCACTAATTTAAGCTATATTTTAGCTTTATTTTATACAACATGGAATTACATATATTAAAAATATGAGATTGATTTTTCTGAATAAATTAGAAATTTATGCAAACTACTTTTTCACATATACTGTTAATATTTCATTACTATTAATGTGTATTTTATATGAAGAAAATAAAATAGATAATGTTTATTGAGTCTTCACTATGTGTTGACTCTGTTAATAGTTTCACATTTTATTGTTAATTTTTACCATAATTCTATGATGCATATGTTATTATCAGCATAATAAACAGTGTTGCTCAATAGAATTATGTGATTCAAATATACAACTTAAAATCTCCACAATTTTTTAAATTTAAAAAAATTACTTTTGTAAACAGTAAATAGGTAAACATAATATATTTTATTTCACCCAATATGTCCAAAATATTATCATTGAAACATATATTTAATATTTAATAATATTAATAAAATGTTTTACATTATTTTTATAAGAAATCTCTCAGAAGTATATATTTTATACTTAGAATACATTTCAGTTTGCACCAGACACATTTCAATAGCGACATGTGGCTAGTGGTTACTGTATTGGACAATGCCGATTATAAAGATAAGAAAGCCAAAGCTTAAAAAATTTAAGAAAGTTAAATTTTACACTGTTAGTACTCTGGAATATCCAAAGAAGTAGTAGGTGGTAACTAAGTAAAGCACAGAAGTGAAACTTGGAAGAGGGGGTATATATGCATGTGGGAATAAAAATGCCATGCTTGACTATCAGCTCTATCCAGCACAGCATGCCTTATAATACGCAGTAAGTAGACATGGAGGAGAATGGAAACCACAGCAAAAGAAGAGAATATACAACAGAAAGATGTTACTTTTTAGATGACAGTATATGTTTTAATATATACAAGGCATACGCTTGTGTAATAGTAGTATGCCTTTGGTGGCAGACTACTTAAAACTTCAAGTCAAAATATCAAGAAACAATGAGAAAATTCATGTAAGTAGAATGATCAGAAATAATGTTGTTTTGATCCAGAGGCCACTGTATTTTCAAGACTGAAAATCCAGATCCCTGTGAGTTCCCTGTGGCTCTCTTGGCTCTGCCCCACTGCATGAAACAGTTTTATTTTCAGGTTGGCTTCACGCATGGGAAGAATAATTACCTGCTTTTTTTAAAAAATTAGGTTCAGGGAGTACATGTGCAGGCTCGTCACATGGGTAAATTGTGTGGCAGTGAGGCTTGGTGTACAAATGACCCCATCACCAAGTTAGTGAACACAGTACCCAATAGGTAGCCTTCCAAAACACGCTCCCTTCTCTAGCCTCTTCTCTCAAGCAATACCCAATGTATATTGTTCCCTTCTTGTCCATGTGCATTCAATATATAGCTCACTTGTAAGTGAGAACTTGTGATATTTGGTTTTCTCTTCCTGTGCTAGTTCACTTAGAATAGTGGCCTCTAGCTGCACCCATGTTGCTGCAAAGGACATGATGTTGTTCTTTTTTATTGCTGGGTAGTATTCCACAGTGTATATATACCACATTTTCTTTATCCAGTGCACCTTAATATGCATCTTGGTTGATTCCAGGTCTTCGCTATTGTTAATAGTGCTGTGATGAACAAATGAGTGCGTGTGTCTTTTTGGTAGAAAGATATATTTTCCTTTGGGTATATACCTAGTAGTGGGATTGCTAAGTTGGAAGGTAGTTCTGTTTCAGGTTCTGTGAGACATCTCTAGACTGCTTTCTGCAGTAGCTGAACTAATTTACATTCCTATCAGCAGTGGGTAAGTGTTCCCTTTTCTCTACAACTTTGCTAGTGTCATTGTGTAAGTGTCCCCTTTTCTCTACAACTTTGCTAGTTGTTTTTTGACATTTTAGTAATAGCCATTCTGCCTGATGTGAGATGGTATCTCATTGTGGTTTAGTTTGCATTTCTCTAATGATTAGTGATGATGAGCATTTTTCATATAGTCGGCTGCATGTATATCTTCTTTTGAGAAGTGGCCGTTCATGTCCTTTGCCCATTTTTTAACAGTTTTTTTTGGTTTTTGTTTTTTGTGTTTTTTTGCTGCTTTAAGGTCTTTGCACATTCTGGATGTTACAGCTTTCTTGGATGTATAGTTTGCAAATATTTTCTTCCATTCTGTAGGTTATCTGCTTACTCTGTTGATAGTTTATTTTGCTGTGCAGCAGCTATTTAGTTTAATTAGGTGCCACTATCAATGTTTACTTTTGTTGCAATTGCTTTTGGGGACTTAGTCATAAATTATTTGCCAAGGCTGATGTCCAGAATAGTATTTCCTCAGTGTTTTTCTAGGATTTTTGTTGTTTTAGGCCTTATGTTTGAGCCTTTAATCCATCTTGTTAATTTTTATATATAATTAAAGTGGTCTAGTTTCAGTCTTCTGCATATGGGTAGGCAGTTATTCCAGCACCATTTATTGAATAGAGACTCCTTTCCACATTGTTTGTTATTGTCGACTCTGTCAAAGATCAGACTATTGTATGTGTGTGATGTTATTTCTGGGTTCTCTTTCCTGTTCCATTGGTTTTTGTGTCTGTTTTTGAAGGTTTCTAGAACTGATAAATGGCTTCAGTAATTTTTCAGGATACAAAATCAATATATAAGAAAACTAATAGCATTTCTATACACCAATAGCGTCCAAGCTCAGAATTAAATCAAGAACGCAATCACATTTACAATAGCCATAAAAAGAATAAAATACCCAGGAAAATAGTTTGTCAAGAAGGTGAAAAATCTCTACAATGAGAATTACAAAACACTACTAAAATAAATCAGAGAGGACACAAACACATGGTGAAACGTTCCATGCTCATGAATAGGAAAAAATCAATATTGTTAAAATAGCCATTCTGCCCAAAGCAATTTACAGATTCAATGCTATTTCTATCAAGCTACTAATGCTATTTTTCACAGAATTAGAAAAAAAAACTATTCTAAAATTTGTAAGGAACCAAAAAAGAGGCTGAATTGCCAAAGCAGTCCTAAGCAAAAAGAACAAAGCTGGAAGCATCACACTGCTGGACTTCAAACTATACTGTAAGGCTACAGTAAGCAAAACATCATGGTATGGGTACAAAAACAGCTGCATGCTTTCTGATACTTATCTAAGTGAGTGAGAGCATCTCTCCTACAGTTTTTTTAAATTACTAACATTAATTCTAATTGAAACTTTTTAGATTATTCACCCATTACTGTGAAATAAGGGTATTAATTTGGAAGTTCTCCTGGATTCAAGGTGATGTCAATACCATCCAATGGTTGTCAAAGGCAACCATATATCTACAAGGCATGAGTACTCCCACAAACAATTGAGCTGTAATCTTCTTTAGGATAATGAAAACTGAATTAGTATTTAGCACAAGACCCAATGCAGCAAAGGTGAGTTACCTTTCTAACTTCTGCTTGAGGTGTTTTACATTTATTTATAATATTTTACACATATGTGTAATCTACATTATATATACATGTTTTTCATGAATCTATACTTTTATTATAAAAATTTTAAACATACAGAAAAGCCGAAATAATTTTATACTGAATACCTTTATATATGTTACACAGGTTTTGTAATAAATATTTTCTATGCTTGATTTATTACATATTTATCCATCTATCAATTATTCTATCTTTCATTCCATCATTTGTGGTGTACTTCAAACTTGTAGATGTCAGTTTACTTCAGTTTTTACTTCAGAATGCATATTTTTAACCAAAGTTAAATATTTATTTCTTATTTATTTTAGGTATAGTTCACATAAATTAAATGCATACACTGTAAAAGCATCATTTTCTGTGTTTTGGCAAGTAAATACATAACTATAATTCCTATCAAGATATAGTATATTACCCTCACCTGAGGTAGTCCCATTATGCCTCTTCCTAGTAGAGCTAAATTTACTCTCCCCTAGAGACAACTAGTCTTCTAATATTTTCTACCACAGATTAGTTTTTCCAGTTCTCAAACTCCACATAAAGAGAATCATACAGTATGTATTATTTTGTGAAAGACTGTTCACTCGACCTAATGTTGTGTGTATCACTTTTTTAATATCTTTCTATTGCTGAGTGGATATTGTTTAATTTTAGTCTTTCTCCAGTGCTTTTGAGTATTCAAAAATATTTTGTCCACATTTCATAATTATTATTTGATGAGAGCTTACACAGCAATTTCATTAAGCATAACTACATTTATGTATAGTTATATATAATCACCGGCTTTTTGAGTTTTGTTGTTTGTAGAGTTCTTGTTTATTTGTTTTTCTAATAGGCGTGTTGAATTTGACTCAGCTAAAATCCTGCCTCTTACCTGCTGTCTTTTGGGATTACAGACTGGTATTAGCGATTTAGCTGCATTGTTGAAACCATGATATATTCTATGAAAAACTGACTGGTCCATAAATTTATTAAATTTATAATTTTGTCCTTTATTAATACTATGCTCCCACCAGTTGCTTGGTATGAGGCTATTCTGATCTATATGCATATTAAAATAAATGCTTTATCCCCAGTCTTTTTATTCACACAGAGAAAATTATTCGCTAAATAGTTGTGATTGCCATTAGCCATGTTTATGGATTGAAGGAAGTTTACCAATAGAGCATCTTATCTTGAAAGAGGTAGTGTTGGTATTTTTCTTTTGGCTTATTCATTCAGAGCTATGGGAGCCTGTGCTCTTAAGTTATTCAAGGTCAAGACTGAGAAAGGGGGCTTAGAAAGCTTGTTTTCACAATCACACTCAACTGTATCTTCAAATTTGGCCTGTTTCAACAATAATGATTTTTTTTTTCTCCATTGGCTAACTCTGGTATATGGTTTGGTAAAAATCTGAGGGAAGCAAGAATAGAGCTATTGAGTGGACTCCCTCAATCCTCAACAACTAGCACAGAGGAGCTAATTGAAATTGAGCAAAATTTAAGTCCATAAAATGTTTATATTATGGAAAAATTCAAGTAAAAGTGCACAATCAGAGTAATGTACTACTGTGAAACAACAAACTGCTTATTTTGGTTTCAGTGGACCATAAAATAAAATGGCAGGACTCTAGAGTCTAGTTTAATGCTCAAAGTTTACAAAGAGGGAACTGAAACCAAAAGAACTCACATGGCATGCCTAATGTCACATAGTAAATTTAATGTAAAAGTCAAAATCACAACTTTGATTTGTCATTGCCCATGTTCTAGAAAAGCAGTGAAAGAAAGAAAACTGATATCAGAAGGCCTGGAATTTGGTTTCAGCATCTCTTCTCACTCAATGTGTGGTTTTGGGTCAATCACCAGAACTGTTTATGCCTCGGTTTTCTCATACATAAAATGTAAATAATAATATTAGTCAAGCCTATCTGAAATGTTTGTGTGAGCATTATTTAGATAATAATGCACTAAGTTATCTGATTTAACTTAATTCATCCTAACAAAAATTTATCGCAAGTAAATTATGTGTCAGTCATGCTAGTTGTTGAGAATACATAAATGGTCTTAGGGAATTTAAAGTCTAATGGAAGAGAAAGAAGATGTCAAAATAAAGTGATAAATGCTAAGATACAGATTTCCAAGGAAGAGGGGTAGTTAAGGGAACATAAGAGTATTTAGCTCAAGCGGGAATAATAAAGTTAACTCAGTTCCAGGAAGCCAATTTATAGAGGATAAATTAAAATAGGCCTGGCAAAAATTACATAGGCAGACCACTTAGGCAGAGTGAATGAATAAGTCAACAAAGCATACCAGAATGTGGTATGTGTGGAACTCTACTGAACGCAATTTGTGTTACTAAGTCATAAAAGAACGAGTGGCTACCAGTAAGTGGCCAGGCATGGTGGCTCACGCCTGTAATCCCAGCACTTTGGGAGGCCGAGGCAGGCGGATCACCAGGTCAGGAGATCGAGACCATCCTGGTTAACAAGGTGAAACCCCGTCTCTACTAAAAATACAAAAAATTAGCTGGGAGCAGTGACAGGCGCCTGTAGTCCCAGCTACTTGGGAGGCTGAGGCAGGAGAATGGCGTGAACCCAGGGGGCAGAGCTTGCAGTGAGCAGAGATTTCGCCACTGCACTTGCAGCCTGGTGACACAGCGAGACTCCATCTCAAAAACAACAACAACAACAACAAAACCTACCAGTAAGTAAGTGTCAAGTAATGGATTTAAACTTAGAGAACCATTGAAGAGATTTTAGTAGGGGGATAATGTGGTTTGATTTGTGTTTCAGTTAGAATATTTTAGCTGCACTGGGAGAGAGAGTAACAATCGAGGGAGAAAAGATACAAATCTAACCCAGGAAACTATAGTAAGGATGGAAAGGAAATGACAGATTAGAGAAACTTTATATTCAGTAAATGATTATTTTATTATTATTCTCGTTATAGCAAATTGTTTAGTTAAGGTTGTTTTTTCTTTTATAAAAATTTAGTGAGAACTGGTGAGCCCAAAAGCATGGTTATTTTCTCTCATACTTATTATTGACCTTGTCCTACTTATATGATCAGTTTATCATAACAAATGGAATACTCCTATTTTTTTCTTGGCTTGAGTCAAACATAATTGCTTCCCTCATTTTTACACCAAAAGGAATATTGAAATCAACATTTTTTTTTAAATAGCAAGCCAGAAATGCAATATGCCAATACATGTGGAGCAACACAGTAATATCAGATTGTTGCCAAAAAGATAACTCATTCAGCATACTCTTAAGGTTTATTCTGGCAATAAAATAGCATTTCGCTCCTTATCATAGCTTTTATACTTTAAATTCTGTTTTAAGTGCTTAGAACAGCAAATGCCTGCAATTCTGTAATATTGATATTATAAAACATCCACAGGGATGCAATGAGATATGATCGTCTTCACACATATAGGCAGCATACTTCTGTGCAGACAGCCAAGTAAGGTTGCTCTTACTTGTGCAGGCAACTCTTTGAAAAATCCTCGGCCAGGCGCGGTGGCTCACGCCTGTAATCCCAAGCACTTTGGGAGGCCAAGGCGGGCCGATCATGAGGTCAGGAGTTCAAGACCAGCCTGACCAACATGGCGAAACTTCGTCTCTACTAAAAATACAAAAATTAGCTGGGCGTGGTGTTGTGCGCCTGTAATCCCAGTTACTCAAGAGGCTGGGCAGGAGAATTGCTTGAACCCATGAGGCAGAGGTTACAGTGAACCGAGATCGCTCCATTGCACTCCAGCATGGGCAACAGAGCGAGACTCTGTCTCAAAAAAAAAAAAAAAAAAAAAAGCCTCCTGCCCAAAGTAAGTGGGAGAGAATGTACTTTTAGAAGGACATGAAGAAATGGGGCCCTACACATAATGGGGCATAAGATTGGATCATGATTCATCAACTGCATGAATTAATTTCTCTAGATAAGTCATCCAAAAATTTAATAGAACATATTCTTGAAAAGAGATAACCATAATAAAATCTTCCAAGTGTTTTCAAATTGCTACATTGAGAGCCTACTATTCCATAACATAAAGCAGGGGTAATTATTCCTTTGGGGAAAATAAAAAGTATTTAAGTGAAGACAGTATTTTTTCTCTTAAGTATTTGACTTAATACGTGATTTAAGAATTTGATCCAAGATTAGAACCCAGTTCATTTTCCTAATATAGCTCAGCTTCTATGATACTGACTTGTCAACTCTTAAAACTTTAATAAGGACTGGTTTATCCAGTTTCTGAGAATTAGCAGATGGCATTTATGGATTTGTTCTGAAACTAGAGAATTATCTGAATTCTTAGTTTTTCTATGACTTCTTTGCTTTCATTATCAACAGCTCAAAGTGAAGTGGAATAACTACTTTGTCATTGTTTCCTGCATGCCTCATAGATTGGAAGACTTCAAGACAGTCACATAACTGTGTTGGTGGTCATCTGTGTCAGGAACACAAAGCATGCTTTTATTTGTCCAATATTGCTATGAGCCTGGTTTTCTGAAGCTACAATTTTTTTTTCACATCTTACATCATTTTGTTTCTAGTTACCAATAAAAAAATTACTCTCCTTGATACATTTAAGTATACATATAGTTTAATTAATAATCATTAATAACTTGCATGGCTGCTGTTGTATATATGAGTGCACATAAACAAACTATTCAGCCTTTTTTTTTTTTAAAAAAAAAAAAAGGAAAAGACACATGTTTCTACCAAAAATTGCTTGATTCAGTTGCAAAGTTTCTCCAAGGCTCCAAGCCACAGCTGAATGAAAAACGTATGTTGAGACTGTATAATCCACTAACACTCTTAGATACATTATGAATTGGAAAACAGTTTAAAAGCATGTGGCTGGTATTTTTAAATGGGGTGGCTTCATCGTTTCTACATAGAGTAACATTTTGTTTTGTTTTTCCTAGAACGTAAGAGTATGATTAACCACATTTCATGAGCAATACAATTTTATAAATGGTAAACATAACAGATACTTTATAAAAATAATTCATGAAATGCAATACTGAATTCCCCTATCTTGCTCTAAATTAATATAACTTTTTCTATGTACAGAAAACTCATTTTCCTTAAATTAAATTGCATTGTTGTATAAAATTAGATCTATTAACCCTTTGTTTACCTTAAAAATGTCTTGTAATGATTCTTTTGAAAGAAAATACCTTAAAAATAATGATTTTTGATATATCTAAGAATAAAAATTACAGAAAAAGAAACAACATGAAATGTACCTGGTAGTTCACTCTATTTCCCCAGACATCAACACTGTTAACATCAATTTTCCAAGGAATCAATCTATCCTAGCAATAAGCGTAATGTTTTAAGTTTCTCAAACTGATAACATAAAGCTGCTGTACTATGGAATTTGTATGTAGTCCTTGGACTGTGTCACAAAGTCCTAAGCTGATTTAAAGTAGTTGTAAGTTTTTTATATATTTTCTCACCTTAACCAGTTAAACCAGTTTGCTGCAAGTGAAAGAAAACTTTTGAGAAATAAAATAAGTGGTGGGGGGGGAGATTTATTCGCTCAATATATTTTCTGTGGCTGCTGTAACAAACTCCCACAAACTTTGTGGTTTAAAGCAGCGCAATTTATTCTTACAGTTCCATAGATTAGCATTAAACATGCATGTCACTCGGCTAAAATCAAGGTGTCATAAGGCCGTTCTTTTCTAGAGTCTCTAGGGAAGAATCCATTTTCTTCCCTTCCCCGGCTTCTAGGGGCCACTCACATTTCTTGGCCCCCATTCCTTCATCTTGCAGGAGAGCAATACTACAACATTCTCACTCTTTTTTCATAGGTTGATTATCTTCTGATTCTCTACTTCCACCCCACTCTTCCACATTTAAGAACTCTTGCAATTACATTAGGTCTAGTAGACAATTCAGACTAATCTCTCTATTGTGAAGTCATCTGATTTTTCTGCCTTAATTTCATCCACCACCTTAATTTTCCTTTGTCATGTAACCTAGTAAATTCACAACTTCCGGGGACTAGAACCTGGACACCTTTGGTGGGCGTTATTCTGCCTACCAAACTCATATTCCAAAAAATTCTAGGGAATAGAATTAGTCAGATACAGCTTTATCTAGAATATTTGTATAAATTATTTCACCAGGGCCATATTTCTCTCAATATCTCAGCTCTATTTCCTTTAATTCACCAAAATGAGTGCTGCAGCAGCTCCATCCACATTGTGTGTCCATTTCGCTTAGCCAAAATAAAAATCTCAATTTAACATCTTGGGCTTTTATTGCCTGGCCTGAGTCCTATTATTAATCTAATCACTGTTCCTGGAGGTTTTAAGGCTGAAGTTACGTGCCATTTTTGGCATCAAGAATACTGTTAGCTATGGCAGAAACACACAGACTGAGAATGAATATGGTATGGAATCTCAAGTGGGAACTGGTGGCTAATGTCAGATGTAAAGTTAACGGATGTTGGGTGGCAAAAAAAAAAAAAAAAAAAAAAAAAAAAAAAAAATATATATATATATATATATATATATAAGAAGGAACGCAGGGGAACAAAAAATCATCATCTACTCTACCAGTGTACTTTACACTCACAGCAAGCAAGTAGAATCACTGATAATTGTCTATCTCAAACAAGAAGACAATGCTAAAAAACTGAAAAGCCAAACTCTATTGTCTTAGATGACACTGTGTGTGCTCATAAAATAATTAAGCTAATTTCTTAAGAAAAATCTCTTCCAGATACCAACTTAACCATTCTCTCTAGTCTTATGTTACCACTCCCCAACTGAATTCCTTGCTCTAGTCAGTCTAGATTCCTCACCCTACATGTGCTATTGGCAGTCCGACTTCTCTAACTTACAAAAGATTTTCTCTCTGTTTTCTACTCTAGAGTTTCTTAACTTCTCTGAGCCTCAGTTTTCACATGTTACAAAAGGAACACCAATATTGGAAAAAAGGAAACATTTTGGTCTTCTTGTTGTTTTATAAGGAAATGCATCTGAAAGAAATTATTTTTGAACAATGTTTCTGGTGCTTTCTTTGAACTTGCGATGCTTTGTATTTTAATTCTCTTCTAAATGAGTTTTTATGTTTACAAATTTGACCTACCGATGTAAAATTTAGATTCTTTGAGGATGAGTGGTTACACTCTTTGTGAGTCCCACAATACATAGAAGTGTAACTTGCTAATTATAAGCCACTGTAGTTTACCTGGAAACAAATAATTAATAAAAGTTGTAGTAATATGCAGAACGTGCATAGTATAAAATAATTTCTACTATATAAGCCTCAGATGTTTTTAGTGAGGTCACCTTGGAAGATATTAAATTAAAAAAACTATAAAATATGTCTGAATGTGAGATTTCGAAGTTACTCTGCTGTTACAGATATAATGCACTAAGCCACAAGAGCATATAAGTTTTTTCTTTTTTACTAAGTGTTGTTTTAATCTCAAATATTTGAGATAATGACTATCCATTACCTTGAGACTAAAGTCTGTCTACTGAATATAGTAAGATAAATGTGCATATGGGGTTGTCTTTACCTCTTTTCCTGCCATGTATTTAAGATATATTGTACATTTGGCCTGGGACATTTATCAAAAAAAAAAAAAAGGTAAAATTTAAGACTTAACCAGTTTTAGATTTTGACTTGACTCATTGGTGAAAACTGGGACATGACTGCATTTTTGTAATCAATCAATTAGAAGGAAACTGATAATGCTATTTTATATATCTCAGTACTGTTCACTTAAAAGTTTTAAAGAAAAAAAATGCTTTGCAATAAGAATTAAAAACAAAAAAACTCAAAATCCCCCTGAGTTAGGTAAATATTATTTTAGTGATTTAAACATCTGCAATCCAATGGATATGACAGTTTAGTGACTTACTCAAGACTACAGATTAAACTGAACACAGGGCCAAACTTGAGCTTAGCAGCCAGGCAGCCAGGTTTCCACTGTGTTGTTTGTTGTCTCTTACAAAGCAAGATCCATGTTTTAAAAATGAAAGAGACATGTAGTTTTAATTTAAATCAAATTTATCAGAGTCTTGACTGTTCAAGCTTTTAAAGTGCCCTTTCTTCTTCTGGATTTGTTCCACAGGTTTCTAAAATGCCAAGTTACTCTACTCCTTGTTGGTTGCCATTTGTCTTTCCTGATTTCCTGGTAACCTCCATGGATTCTTGAAAGCATGCCTATCTCTTCCCTTGTGTCCAATGCAGATTCTTGTAGCGCAAAGGAATTTACATCAAATGGGGAGGGATTCTTTCTATTTTGAATGAGGACTGTTGGGAGTTTAAATTGAGGAGTTGGCAGAAGGTCTTCTACACAATATACATCTCTCTCCTTCTTATAGCCATGCTAATAAATATGTTTTTTCTTTTATTTTAAATTTCCCTGCTGTGGTGTCCTCTTCATCATCTTTGTTCTTGGGATGAACTTTTCACTACTGACATGATATACAGAGGTGTGCAGTACAAATGGGTTTAAAGGAATTCAAAACTATGCATATTTTAAAGAATAAAATGAGAGGATTATATATAAATACACACAAATGTAACCAAAGTTCTAATAGGAAATTATTAGATGTTTACACAATGAAATAAAAGGGAAAAATACCCGTATAATCAGAAGTACAAAACTCAGTGAAAATTAAAACTTATTTTATGTCAAAACAAAGAAAATGCTAGATGTGCAGTTCTGCTGCTATTATATGATTGAATTCACATAATCTAAAACCATCTATTTTTTTCTACTCTAAGCAATATCTTATTAGAAATCTCATTGATGGTAACCAAGAGTGGCATCTTCATTTACCACTCTCTTACAATTTTAATCAATTTAACCATATGTTTGTTGCAATCCCTCCTGGCTTTGCTGCTAAATAGACAGGAATTCCCATCAGTAATTACTCCGAAAAAGAAAGAAACCAGAAATCAGAGAATGGATCATAATTGGCTTAATGTTACACCATGGGTGAGCTTTATGACCAGGGGCAGAATAAAAAACCAGTGTTCAAAGGGATGTGACATATTTAGATGTATCATGGGCCAGCATCAATACTTATAAGGGGGTTATAATTCCACAGATAAAAATTGGAAGCTGTCATTTTTTAAAACAGTAAGTCAATGAGTTACATGTGTGACAGTATCACTGTTTAGGCTACTGTTGTGGCTAATTTGTTTGAAGCTAAAGCCAAACATTACTAGGCAATAAGAAGTAGAATGCTCCGTATATTAGTTGTTTATTGGTATATAACAAATTACAGCCAATGTAGCAGCTTAAAACAACACTCATTTATTATCTCACAGTTCTGTAGCTCAGAATCCGGTTTACCATAAGAGGTTCTCTACTCAGGATCTCACAAAACTGAAATCCAAGTATCAGCCAAATCCAATTGTCATTTGGGCTCAGGGTTCACTTCCAAGCACATTCAAATTGTTGGCAGAATTCACTTCCTTGTGGTTGTAGGACTGAATTCCTCAGCTCTTAGAGGATGCCCATCATTCTCTGACACGTGGCAGTCTCAACAACATGGCCTGTTGCTTTCTCAAAGCTAGTAGGTGAGTGTTTCTGGCTTCAAATTGCTGACTTCTTTTAAGAGCTTACATGATTTGGTTCGATTCTCCCAGAATAACCTCCTTTTTCAATAACTCAGTATCAACTGATTAAGAATGTTATATCTTTAAAACAACATCTGCCATATACCAGGGCATAATCATGGGAGTGACATCTCATCATTTTCATAGATTTTGCTACATTCAAGGGAAGGAGATTACATAGACTATGTAAATCAAGGAGCAGTAATCTTGGGTACCATCTTAGAATTCTGCCTACGATGTCCCATATATAAGAGATATGGAAATATAGAGATACGGAAATATGGAAATATGTGGGTTGGCCTTAAGTAGAGTGGTGGGAGGGGGTGCAGAGGCAGGGAAAGTATTGACTTCCATTCCAAAAGGGAAACTAGGATACCATCAGTCACCCAAATTGAAGCCAAATTATATGAGCCCTGCAAAAGCAGCAGAAATTAAACTCAAATGGCAAGTGAATATTTAGGGTTTATCCCAACAAGACACATACTAATATAAGATAATCTTGGATTATCTGGTTGCATCCATCCTCCTAAGTCCAATTATAAGTATCTTTTAGCAAACAGAAGAGAAGGTCATGCGAAGACACTGGCAGATACTGAAGTTATGCAGCCACAAGCTAAGAAGCACCTGGAGCCACTAGAAACTAGAGGAGACAAGGAAAGATTCTCTTTAGAGGCTTCAGAGAGAATGGCCCTGCTCACACCTTGATTTTAGATTTCTGCCTTCCATAACTGTGAAAGCATTTGTTGTTGTTGTTGTTGTTGTTATTTTAACCTACTAAGTTAATGGTAATTACTTACAGCAGCCCTAGGAAACTAACACACATTCCTTGGGGCCATGTGACTTGTGTTGACCAGTAAAATATGAGCATCAATGAAGACAGTCACTTTCAGGTGGAAGCATTTATTAGTACAGGGCCCTGTAGCAAGAACTGAGACAGTGATTGTGGACACGTGAATCAAGACGATGCTTCCATCAGCCTGTGTCTCTGACTGACTTAACATATTACTCCAGCTTATCTACTCAGGGTATGTATTAAAAGGCATCAGTAAATAAACTTTTGTGGTTTTAAGCTACTGAAATCTTTAGCCCATCATTTACTGCAACATGACTTAGTCCATATTCAAGATTAAACCAGGCAAAAGGTATTTGGGGATTAATAATTTCCTGTTGATATTAAAATGAAAGATTTTACTAATGCCCTCATAATAAATGTATTCCAAGTTCAAATTTTGCTCAGTAGAGGTCCAAAGAAATGTTAAAATGAAGGATCATAGGACTTGGCATTAAAAACACCTGTGTCGAATTTAATTATTCTTATTTTCTTTGGGCAAGTTCCCTGAGTCTCAATCCTTTTTTGTGCAATATATAAGTAGTAATGCTGGTTCTTTCCTCACTAAGTTTTGTGAGGCTGCAATCAGATAATTAATGGCAAACTTTGTAAACTATACAGAATTTCATACGTATAAGTGATTTCCATTCCACACCTGTGATGCCAGGGAGCTACCTACACCATCATATTTTGGGGCAAGTATCTTATGAAGTGGACAAAGTCTCAAACTTCACAAAGTGAATTATACAGATGCCTGATATTTCCATGTAGTCATGAATCCCAGTGACATATATCAGAAAAACGCTAAACCCAGAATAAAAGAAATACATTCTACAGACAAATCTGCTAAAGGGGTCTGTTTGTAATTTTTCCTTATCTCCAAGATAAAGGAAGAGCTTTTTTTGGCTTGGAGAACTTGCGCTATTTCTGGAATACAACTGAAAGAGGCTTCAGAAACAGAAGACAATAACCACATGCAGATATACCGGGCTTTGATATTTGGAGAGGCTCAAAACCTGTACAAGTCCCCCAAGAAGACGGTATTGGGCCCTGAGAAATCCTTAATCAGTAATTGATTTAGAAGATCAGGCTGAAGATACAGTGCATAATAGAAACAAATGGTGACCATGAGAGGAAATAAAATGACCTTGGAAAATAAAGTTGGAACAGCAAGAAATGGTGGAAACAATATTGGTTAATATTGGGTTATGCTATATTTGATAAGAAATAGGAGCAGTTTGTATGATTATAGTAGTTTCTATGAGAATTCAGTGTTCTTTGTTTATCTCTCCAATTAATTTCTGAGAAATTTAGTTCAGAGATAATATAATGATTTAGTTATGTCATAAACACAGGTTCTTTTTATCTTGCTACTTCACCGTCTTGTTCATGGCCTTCATTTTAGAAGTCATTTTGTGTCCTAACATGGCTGATGGAAATTGAGTCATTACACTTGTGTTCCAGCATCAAAAAGCAAAAAGGGTGAAGAAAGCCTACTATCTTCTTTTTAAGAAGACTTCCTCGAACTACTCCTAGACACTTCCACTTACTTATCATTGGATAGGAATAGTCACAAAGCCATTTCTAGTCATATAGCCACAGAGAGGCCAAACAAAACCAACCTGTAGCTGCAAGTCTTGTTACTTTGAGTATATTTGTTACTTAGGAGGGAGAGAATGCATGTTATTGTAGGTAAAAGAGCAGTGTCTAATAAAGGATATGAAGATCAAACTCAAAATGGAGGATAAGGATAATTAGAGAACTAATAAAGAAAAAATATTCAGTAGATACTTATTTATAAATTCATTTATCAATATATATTTATTGGGGATAGTAATATGAGACACCTGCTAGGTCCTAAGGCTACTGTGGTGAATAAAACAACACATTTGCCCTCAAGCAAATTGTAAGTTATTGAAGGAAGACTTATAAAGACAAATAAATAATTACAAAGAAAATTTAGTTATAATGAATGGTGAGAATAAGGCTAGAAATGCTAAACCACAGATAACCTCTTTCAACATCTTGAAAATGCATGTCTGCTTTATCTTGATCAGAAAAGTGTCTTAGACCAGGGCAAAAGGATTGTGTCAGTGAGGCTCAGAAGTCGGGAGATCCATATTAATGTTTTAAGGAAAGTCAAAATAATGGGGCTTCACATCTGAACACATGCGGTGATGGACAAAAAAAAAAAAAGAAAAATAATGGTAAATCTAAGATTGTATTTCTTCTAAGTAACTTAAAAATACTATTTTATTTTTAATATAAGCAAGCAGATGAGGAAAATAATAAAGTTGAGGAAATAATGAGATCACACTGAGTTTGGGTTATTGACTTTGCCCTACTGGAAGCCTTCTCTGATTTTGATCGACAAAACTCCCTACATTTTCCTGGGTTTCCTCAGCACTACGACATGTTTCAATCACATCATTTATCACATTGTGCTTGAAATAATGTGTACATAACCAATGGTGTGCTAGTGTCAACTTTTACAAATTTGCAAAAGCTAACTATGCACATTTCCTTCCCAATCCCTACTTCAATGACTTCAGTTTGGTAGCCTAAAACCTGTCATGGTGGGAGCATTAACACCAAAAATATTGGCAAATGCTTCAAATCAGGCTCTCTCTTTTCCCTGAAGAGGTGATTGCTAAACACCTGTCAGCATATCCCTATGTTTAACTTGTTTCTTCTTAGACTATAAGCTTTTTAAGAGCATAGCTTGGGCCTTACCCATACATGTACTCTCCTTGTGGTGCAAGTATGACAATGGATGGTGGTTTCATTGAATTTTTAAAAAATGTCTGTTGAATTAACAATCAGAGAAAAACATTCAACATAAGGTTGAAAATGTGGTTTGGAGTTTACTTTTGAGAACATAACATGAGCTATGTATGGACATGGTCATAGTTAACTTCGAGAAAAGAAGAAAATAACACATATGTGTAATGTGCCTTAAAGCTTGTGCAGCTATTTCATTTATATGTCAAAATTCAGGAGAAAAATCTTCTTAACATGGAATTTATTTATATTATAATAATCTTAGAGTCTACCAATATGTGGTTTATGGAACCATCTGGAGATCATGACAAAGGAGCTTTAACTTAGGTCCATTTGAACAAAAACAGCATCATATTATGTAGATAAGCATAATAGTAAGGTAGATGAAGTTTACCTCTGCTTCTCCCTTCAGGATCACACTGTCTTCTCAGTATTCTATGACACCTGATCATATGAAATAATATAAGTTATTTAAATGCACAACTCATAATACCTATAGATTTCTACAGAGAAATTCAATTTTAAGTGTATAAAGCTATGTTTACTTTGAATAAAGGAGTAGGCATCTAAAGGTGGGGTTTCAAATTAGTGAGCTAGGTAAAAGGATAATCAGAGCATAGGATTTCACTGGTCCTAAGCCTGACTACAGGTAGCTGGTCACTCTTTACATCATTTCATAAGATGAGGTACATCTGGACATACTAGAAAATTCAAGGTTCTAAATCATACTTGTTCCTTGATACAACCAAATTCCTTTATCCTAAAACAGCTCAACAACACAAAGAACAATTATATTGGCCAAATAAAAATTGAGCGCATTCAATAAAGCAAAACATTTTGTACTGTACTTTGTATTTATTTAAGTGATATATTTATTATCACTCTAAAGGCATAAAAATAAAATCATATTAGTTATAAATTTAACTGGTCATCTTTATTGAAAAGCAAATATGATATCCTGACTGTCCCAGAAAATAAAAAACATATGGTTACTATAAATATGATTAAGTCTTACTTTGTGCTTTTCAGCGCGGCATGGTGAAACAAATCAGGTTTCTCATCCTTCTAACATCATTTGTGTCTCTAAAATCTATGTAAATGGATACGCATTAGGGGACACCATTCAGAATTTAAGCGACAGTCTTTTCAAAAAATGAATTAATATGTCTTTTTTAGAAATTGCTTTGTCTTCTAAATATATGTTTTTAAAATGTCTTTGTTGTTTTATTAGTTATTAAATCACTAGAATCTACTTGGAAATGATTTCTTGTATTTGTATTAGGTAATAGCATAGGTATCATCATCCTAGACATGTTTTCAACATTTTTTCCTCCCTAATTTAAATCTATACTGCATAACTTTTTTGAAATGTCCACATAATTTTTCATTTTAGGCCTTTACTGATTGTGTGTACTATCATGACTACGTATTTTAATTGTTCAATTTTGTGTTTTTAAATAGCTGCCGGTCGTGTGTGTTTTCGTCACATAAAGCCCTTTATAATTAAGTGTAGGATCACAATTAGATTTATTGCAAAATAACAAAAATGTTTGCTGTTTTTAGAAAGTCACAATTTCCAATTTCTAAGTCAGCCAGTTTGGAGGACAAGTTTAATTTAACAATGACGTTGTCTAATATTTCACAATATTCAGTGATCTATTTATAATCCACTTATCAGCTTTGTGTCCTTGAATTCATCTTTAAGAAGGGGATTTTCCAGTAAATGCACCATAATGCTGCTGTAAGGATGGAAAGAGATAATTAATGTAGTTGGGATATAATACACCCTCCATATTAACAGCAGCTATAATTAAGAATGTCATATGTTTTTAACTTTAATTAATTTGTAAACTAAGTCATAAAAATGATAAAAAGACTGTTACAAATTACTTAGTCAGTGTATTTATAAAAAGTTGACCATATATTTCACTAGTATTGCTTGCTTTTGTTTCAAAAAGTTGATTCAATTAAACTACAAAACCCTGTATAAAAGCCTCCATTATCATCATAAGTATTCACTTGAATCTAGGTGTTGACACCAGTGCATTTCTCTAATTATTAACAGAAAGAATGATTAAAATCCAAAGCTGAGTCATTGGGCTTTTGAAACAACCAGTCCTTTGAAAAATCAGGATTTAGGACTTTTTGTGGGCTGATATTTACACAGTTACCAGCAGGTGGCAGTATGTATATGAAAGTGTGTCGTAAATAATGCAACTTGCAGGTTACTGGCTATTACTAACCAAGAGATGTGCATGCACTTAAAAACACTATTTACAGGGGAAATCATGGGTTTCTAACTGCTTTGAAATTCCTTGTTATTATCTTACCATGTCCCTCAAGGAAGACTATATGGTTGTCACTTGTGAACTGCATGAAATCTTAAATCTAGCCAAGGTCCAGCTTTCCAGGGAGGTCAGAGTTACTGGCTGACCTTGGCTTGACACTTCTCTGTCACTTATGATAATACAGCCTGTTTAACTATGAGATTTTCTAAGATACACTCTCATAAATAATTATTTGTTGAGGAGTTCTTCAGTCTGCACATATGCAGACAGTGCTATGCTGTGCCATCCATAGCAGACAGGGCTATATTGAAAACATGAATAAGAAAGGATGAAAATAAAAGCAGAGAAAAAAATTCTAATGTAGATTATTAAGACTTACTAAACGATAAAATTATATTTTTTTCAGCCAACTGGGAGAAAGTATAATCTTGTTGTAAAATTTAATATGGAAGTATATATGGAACTCCACATTTTTCTTTTTTTATCTTGCCACTCTTGTCTTTAAAACCTATGTATGAAGGTCAGAGGTCACTTATCATAGTAGTTCGCCCTCCCTGGTTTCCCTGGTCATGACTATGGCTTTTGCAGAAGATGTGTCAGCTAAATGGTGATAGAGATTTCTAGACCAGGCAGGGTTGGTAACTATCAGTGACTGAAAATATGGAGCACTGGTGAGTGGTGTGGAGAAGGCAAGAAGTACTTGAGGAAGCAGTGGCAATGGAGGAGGTCCTTGCTATTTACACTGAATTTATGAAAGTTTCCTTTTCCTTTTTTCTCCTAAGAAAAAGTACTTACCTGCATGTTTTTATATTATATCTTGCATATTTTGTTTAAAATATGAATATGCTTGTGTGCATCTGTGTAAATAGGCAAGGAGAGAGTAAAAAGGAAAGTGGCATTAAAAATTTATCATTTTCCCTGAAAATTTATTTTGCAGTTTAGAGTCATAAATATTTTGTGAATTCTTAACCTCAATGAAAATCTGAGATACAAAGCATTCTGAAAAAAACATGTAACTTACTTACTGATTCCTCTGTTCAAGAAAGAAGGCCATATAGTAGCTGTGTTTCTAGGTGTTTGAGGAACTACCACACTGTTCTCCATTGTGGCTGTACTAGTTTTCATTCCCACCAATAATGTATAAGAGTTCACTTTCCTCTGCATCCTTGCCAGCATTTTTTGTCTTTTTGATAATAGCTATTCTAAATGGAATGAGATGATACCTTATTGTGGTTTTGAATTGCGTTTCCCTGATGATTCGTGATGTTGAGTATTTTTGTAAATATTTTTTGGCCATTTGTATGCCTTCTTTTGAGAAATATCTGTTTACATCATTTGCCCATTTTTTAAAGTTTAACTTTTATTTTAAGTTCAGGTTTGTTATATTGGTAAACTTGTGCCATGTAGAGTTTGTTGTACAGATTATTTTGTCACCCAGGTATTAAGCCTAGAATTCTTTATCAATTTTTCCTGATCCTCTCCCTCCTCCTATCCTCCACCATCCAATAGGCCCCAGGGTGTGTTGTTCTCTTCTGTGTGTCCATGTATTCTCATCATATAGCTCCTACTTATAAGTGAGAACATGCAGTATTTGGTTTTCTGTTCAGTGTTAGTTTGATAAGGGTAATGACCCCCAGCTCCATCCATGTTTCTTCAAAAAGATATGATCTTGTTTTTTTATGGCTGCTTAATATTCCATGGTATATATGTATCATATTTTCTTTATCCAGTTTGTTATTGATGAACATTTAGGTTGATTCCATGTCTTAGATATTGTGACTAGTGCTACAATGAACACATGCTTGCATGTGTCTTTATGATAGAATGACTTATATTCTTTGGGTATATACCCAGTTATGGGATTGCTGGGTCGAATGGTATTTCCGTTTTTAGGTCTTTGAGGAATTGCCACACTGTCTTCCACAATGGTTGAACTAATTTACACTGTGACCAACCGTGTATAAGCATTCTTTACTCCACAACCTTGCCATCATCTGTTATTTTTTGACTTTTTAATAATAGCTATTCTGACTGGTGTGAGATGGTATCCCATTGGGGTTTTGATATGCATTTCCCTAATGATCATTGATGTTGAGCTTTTTTTATATGATAGTTGGCTACATGTATGTCTTCTTATAAAGTGTCTATACATGTCCTTTGGCCACTTTTAAATGGTGTTGTTTTTCTCTTGTAAATTTGCTTAAGTTCCTCATAGATGCTGGATATTAGAACTTTGTCAGATGCATAGTTTGCAAAAATTTTCTCCCATTTGTAGGTTTCCTGTTAACTCTGTTGACATCTTCCTTTGTTGTGCAGAACTCTTTAATTAGATCCCATTTTTAAATTTTTGCTTCTGTTGCATTTGCTTTTGTTGTCTTCATCATTAAATCTTTGCTCGTTCCTGTATCCAAAATGGTATTGCCTAGATTATCTTCCAGAGTTTCTTGTACTTTTGGTTTTTACATTTAAGTCTTTAATTCATCTTGAGTTAATTTTTGTATATGGGGTAAGGAAGGAGTCCAGTTTTAATCACCTGCATATGGCTAGCCAGTTTTCTCAGCACCATTTATCAAATAGAAAGTCCTTTCCCCATTGTTTGTTTTTGAAAGATTTATCAAAGACCAGATAGTCATAGGTCTGCAGCATTATTTCTGGGTTCTCTGTTCTGTCCCATTGTTCTATGTGTCTGTTTTTGTACCAGTACCATGCTGTTTTGGTTACTCTAGCCCTGTAGTATAGTTTGAAGTTAGGTAGCTTGATGACTCCAGCTTTGTTCTTTTTGCTTAGTATTGCCTTGGTTATTTGGATTCTCTTCTGATTTCACCTGAATTTTCAAATAGTTTTTTTTTTCTAATTCTGTGAAGAATGTCAATGTTAATTTTAATAGAAATAGCATTGAATTTACAAATTGCTTTAGCCATGTGTGCATTTTAAAGATACTGTTTCTTCCTATCCATGAGCATGGAATGCTTTTTTTCATTTGTTCATGTCATCTCTAATTTATTTGATCAGTGGTTTATAGTTCTCCTTGTAGAGATATTTCACTTCCTTCATTAGCTGTATTGCTAGATATTTATGTGTGTGTGTGTGAGTGTGTGTGTTAATTGTGATTTGACTCTCAGCTTGACTGGTGCTGTATAGGAATGCTGGTGACTTTTTACACATTAATTTTGTATCCTGACACTTTGCTGAAGTTGTTTAAGGAACTTTTTGGCTGAGACTATGGCATTTTCTAGGATTATGTCGTCTGCAAACAGCGATAGTTTGACTTCCTCTCTTTCTATTTGGACGCCCTTTCTTTCTTTCCTTTACCTGGTTGGTCTAGCCATGACTGCAATACCACATTGAATAGGAGTGGTGAGAGAGGGCATCCTTGTCTTGAGCCAGTTTTCAAGGGGAATGCTTCCAGCTTTTGCCCATTCAGTATGTTGTTGTCTATGAATCTGTCATAGATGGCTCTCATTATATTGAAGTATGTTCCTTCAATACCTAGTTTATTGAGAGTTTCTAACATGAAGGGATGTTGAATTTTACTGAAGGCCTCTTCTGCAACTATTGAAATTAAGTACTTTTTTTTCCTTTAGTTCTGTTTATGTGATGAATCACATTTATTGATTTGCATATGTTAAACCAAACTTGGCTCCCAGAGATAAAGCCTACTAGATCATAGAGGATAAGCTTTTTGATGTGCTTCTGGATTCAGTTTGCCAGCATTTTTTTTGAGGATTTTTGCATGTTCATTAAGGATATTGGCCTGAAGTTTTTGTTGTTGTTGTTGTCATGTCTCTGCCAGCTTTTGGTATCAGGATACCCTTGAAGAATGAGTTAGGAGGAGTCCCTCCTCCTCAGTTTTTGGAATAATTTCAGCAGGAATGGTACCAGCTCTTTTTTGTACAATTTAAAGAAAATCAATGAATTCAAGAGATGTTTTTATTTAATTAATAAAATAGACCACTAGCTAGAATAATAAAGAAGAAAAAAGATTGAAATAAACACAATAAAAAATGACAAGTGAGATATTACCACTGACCCTAGAGAACACAAACAACAATCAGAGAATATTATGAACCCTTCTAACCACATAAACTAGAAAATCTGAAGGAAATGGATAAATTCCTGGATACATATACGCTTCCATACCGAACCAGGAAGAAATAGAATTCCTGAACAGACCAATAATGAGCTCTCTAACTGAGTCAGTAATAAATAGCCTACCAACAAAAAAAAAGCCCAGAACCACTGTTTAATTTAATTTAATTTAATTTTTTTTTTTTTTGCTGGTGAGATGTTTGGGATCCTTGTATATTCTATATATCAATCTCCTGTCAAATGAGTAGTTTGTAAATATTTTCTCTAATTCTGTAGGTTGCCTTTTTACTCTTTTTTTTTTTTTTTGCTGTGCAAAAGCTCTATAGTTTGATACAATCCCATTTTCTTATTTTTGCTTTTGCATTTGAGGTCTTATCAAGTTAGGTGTTCAACAACAGATGAAAGGATAAAGAAAACGTCACACACACACACACACACACACACACACACACTAGGACACTATTCAGCCATGTAAAACAATTCTGTCATTTTCGGCAACATGGATGAAACTAGAGGACTTTATGTCCTCCAACACACCAGGGAAAGATAATTAAACACTGCATGTTTTTATTTATATATGGAAGCTAAACAAACTTGATCTCATAGAAGCAAAAAGTAGAACGGAGTATGTTAGAGGCTGGGAATAATGGGAGGAATGAAGGAATAGAGAAAGATTTGTTAAGGATACAGGGTTATAAGCTAGATAGCGGTAATACATTCTAGTGTTCCATACCACTGTAGGTTGATTATAGTTAGCTATATTACGTAATTTCAAATAGCTAGAAGGAAGATATTCAATGTTCCAAACACAAATAAATGATACATGTTTAAGATGATGGATATGCTAATTACCCTGATCTAATCACTTTACATTATATGTATTGAAAGATCACTATGTACCCCATGTAAAATTAGTATTTGTCAATTATAAAAGTAAAATAAAAAAGAAAGAAGGCAAGCATGAAGGAAAAAGTAAAAAAAAAAAAAGTTGTGATATATATATTTTTTAGTTCTATTGATGAATGCAGTATTTTTAAGCATTGCTCCAAAGTTACTACTAGATTTATAACTTTACTTCAAAGATAAGATGAATAATATTGATTTCATTCACAGGCCTTCTCTGTCTCTGCCCTACTCAAGAGGGCCTTATCTCAACTCTACATAAATCTATGAAACTGGAGAAATGCCAGTTCTTCCACTCTATGAGCTTTCCATACTTCTCTTTCATATTTCTCCTGCCTGCTATGTCAGTAAATTTTATGTTTATTTTTATAAACTAATTTAGAACATAAATGACTCAAACTATTATATCACTAGGCAAATCCACATTAAAATATAAAAGCTCCTAGAAAAACAAAGGTCCAGAATGGTTTTCCAATTTACATTGAGTAAGTGGGGAAGATACCTGTAGAGAAAAATAATCTTTGTCAATAGACCCTGAAGTCACACCAGAGGTGACAGAAGGTGCTGCATGATAAGCCTAAATCAGATATAGTGCGACTTACATCAACATAAGCATTTTTTGTCTTTCCCATAAAATTGACTTAGGGAGATGGGCTACATGGATAAGTTGAGAGTAACAGGGAACTTTTATGTAAAATATATTTTTTTAAATATAAGTGTTACTTAAACATGCTTCAAATCTCATACTCCAGAGAGAAAAGTGGGTTTTTGTAAATACAAACATTATATTAAAGTATACTATGCATGTAGAAAATAATACAGATCAAAGTGTATACACTGGTAATTTTTTTTTTATTTTCAAAATAAATTCACCTAGGTAACAAGCAATAAGGTCAAGAAATAGAACATAAGCAGAAACCCAGGATTGCCTAACATTAACTTTCATCACTACATCCGTATAACCATATTATAACTTCTAATACAAAAGATTAGCTTTGTCTTTTTTGAATTTCATATAAATATAGTTACACAGACTGTATCCTGTGTCTGGTTTATTTCACTCGACATAACATTTATGAAGTTCCATTAATTGTTGTAGCTTGTTATTGTCATTGCCATATGATAGTCAATTGTATAAATATACTATAAGTTTTATCCAGTTTGGGACTATTATGAATAGTGCTTCTATGAACACACCTTTTGATGCATATATGTATGCATTTATGTTTAGTATATAACCTAAGTTTATATGTTACATGCATTAGTAGATGCTGCCCTAGAATTTTTCAAAATGCTTGTAGTAATTTATACTTTCACCAGCTATAATGATTGCAATCTTTTTACATCTTGAACAGTACTTGTTATTCCATGCAATTTTCATTTACATCATTTTCCCAATGTGCTTTGTAAGACATGTATATATGGTACAAACGATAATACTAGAAATTTCTTAAACTATATTGCAAAGACTATCAGTCTGCAGCGAAATAAACAACTGGCTGGAATAGATGATCATGATACTTGTCCCCATACCTCCTTTCTCCATCCCATATCTGAGCACCTTAGGCAATGAGAAAAAGAGAAGATAATGAAGATGGCCTTAATTCAAATTCTGGGGTCCTCTTTGGCAAAACAAGACTATGATTTCTAGAAGATACCATACATATCAGAGCTTTGTGACTCTTATTTATGTATCTGCTGATGGGTTGTTGGGAACCTGGGTTCTATCTTCAAAGAGCCTGTGTTTACTAAAATGCTTTTGAATAATGACTTTGCCAGCTGTGCTTGGCAGAATGGGCTGAAACAGGGAGGACATGAGGCAGGCCAGTTCAAAAAGTACTGCACTATTATAGGATCATATGCTGAAACAGAAGAATATGTTGGAGAAACAACTCAACAATTTTAGGTGCTTAAATTTTGCGTCTTCTTCAAAATGAGTCTCTATCCTTAAAATTACTCAACTCTTAACTTGAATTAATTTACTTCCAGACATTTACCCTGAATACAAAATGCTATATGTGTCAGCTTAAAGAGAACTGAGGAGTGTTTTGGGCCATTTGACCCTCTGCTCCAGAAACTAAATGTAATTTTATAATTTTTCCCTATCTGAGTGTTTCTAAATTTCAGCCATAAGAGGTAAGAAGAAACAAATCTACTTCCCTAACAACTTTGGCCAACTGAAAAAAGCATGATATGCCTAGAGAACGTGCAGGGTCTTTAGAGTCAGACAAACAGATCTAATTTTGAACTTAACAACTAAGTTACTTCTCAGAGCCTTACTTACTTTATTTGACAATTTGGAATAGTGTAGGTTGGTTGATATGGGAACTGTGATGATTAAATTAAATTACTCATGTAAAATCCTTGGCACGCATTGAGTATGCTATAAGTGGTAGATAACGTTGCTAAAATTTAATTATAAGCTAGGTTTTAAATTTTGAATTCTTATGTATATCAAAATTGCATTGTGTTTTCCCATATATTTTACACCTGTTTATGACATTCAAATTCAAATATCATATTTTACATGACATAATTTTGAATAATTTTCCTAGGGAAAATAAAGTTTGCTAACAGTTTTCTTACTATGTTTGCATTACAAAAACTTGCATATATTCTAGAACATGTAGTTATCATTTATGCAGTTTATGCTATAAGTTTCCCAAGATTATGGACATAATTTGACTGTATAATTACTTTGACCTGAAAGACCAGTATCTCAAATATCAAATTTTCCTTTTATAGTTAAGCTACTTTTATGGGCGTGATTTGGTGAGAGTAATTGGCCTCTACATAGTTCCTTAGTTATAACGAATACCACAGATTCAATACTGTCTTGTTATGTATGTTTACTGCCCTATGAGTTCCAATGTTTCAACTAAGTACAACTGTTTTAATCAATACATAACACAGCAAGACTAGAATTGGCAGATGGGTGAGCAAATCTTGATCATTGAAATAAAAGAACTAAAAGGAAGACTATTCGTTCTTATATAAATATGAGGGAACATTTTTTGTCTTAATCTGTTTTGTGCTACTGTACCAGAATACCAAGACTAGGTAACTTATAATGAATGGAAATGTAATAGCTTACAGACCTGAAGGCTGGAAAGTCCAATATAAAGATGGTGACATCTGACAAGGGCTTTCTTGTTGTCTCATTACATGGCCAAAGGACACAGAGGAAAAAGGGAACCAAATTCATTCTTTCATAATGGCATTAATTCCACCCATAATACTGGGTGGCCTAATCACCTCTTAAAGGTCTCATATCTTAATACTTTTACAATGACAATTAAATTTCAACGTGAATTTTGGAGGGGGCAAACATTCAAACTCCAGAAATTTTATACTAAGATGCTGTGGTACTATCATTAGTGGCAGTATAGATTTAGGAAACTTGTGTAAGCTGCTTTTAACAGAAAAGAACATTAAAAATAGATCTTCAAAAAGCCATTTTGGTAAATCCTAGTAATTAATCTATTAATTATTGTGTTTGAGATGACAGCAATAATTTGTTCACCACGGGCTCATGGCAGTTAATATTGGTCAATTTTTAACTCAAGTCTATGTATATAAGCCTGTCATTTATTAGGAAAAACAGAAGAATGTTATTTCAATCCTCAAGAACCTAATGTAAATAGTCAATGTAGTTCTATTTATAAGTCGTCAACACTTGCACTGTCTTGGCCACTTTGCAATAAATTTGAATATTGAACTACCTTTTAAAAATTAATTACATGTATATATGATATACTGGGGCTCAAATATTCATCATTCTGCTCTCAGGGATTAAAGACACAGGTATATAATTGACCAATTGCAAAGTTATGTGCCAAATTCTATTGTACTGGGTATGAATTGTGCTTCATGAATCTTATAGGCTAATTGTAGGAATAATTAAGGAATAAGCCAGTATCAGCAGTGTCAAAAGTATGTCGTCTATTTGATTTAGAAATTTAGAACCTATGTGAGGAGTTAAAATCAAATAGACGCATAATGGGATTGCAACACTAAAAAATAATACCTTACACATGAGTAACACTAAATTAATTATTTTTCAGTTCACCTGAATTATGGTTTTTTGATGTACTTATTACAAAGGACAATTGTGTGCCAGAGCTTACTTTAATTACTTCAATTAATCCATTTAACATATATTTATTGATATTGACATACACACATGTACACACTCCTTACATTATAGTAGATGAATGGAGAGAAAGGAATTAAAATTTCCTAAGGAAGTAATTTAAAAAAAAAGTACAACTGATATGTTAAGAAAAGTGGAATTTTATGATATGCCTTATTATAACCATAAAAAGCAGAAAAAAAGTGTAAGACAATAATAGAAGCCAAAGGTGAAGGCAACACATAGAAAACAGTAATGAATATGATAAATACGAATCCAACAACATGATTAATTACGGTGACCTAGATACACCAAATAAAAGACAGAGACTGTGAGTGAATTAAAAAAAGACCCAACTATGTACTGTGTATAAGATATCCACTTTAAATATAAAGAAACAAGTTGATTTAAAGTAAATAGAGGAAGAAAGATATGCCATGCTAACGCTAATCAAAACAAAGTAGGAGTAACTATATTAATTTCAGACACAGCAGATTTCAGAGCAAGGAAAGTTATATAATAATAATGGGGTCAATTCTCCAAGAAGACAGAAATCTTTAGGGTGTACATGCTTAACAACAGAGCATCAGTATTTGTGCGGCAAAAACTAAAATGAGAAATAAATAAACCCAGACTTTTTTTTTTAATCAGAAATGGACATATGCAGCTAGCAGAAAATCAGTGAGGATTTAGCTGAACCCAGCAACATCATCAGTCAACTGGATATAACAGATATCTCTATATTTTTTTAAATCCAACAACAGCAGAATACACATTTCAAAAATAATGTAAGCTGAATAAAAATAAAAACACCACTGATCAAAAATTTGTGAGATGCAGCAAATCAGTGCTTAGAGGAAAATTTATGGCATTGAGTACATATATTAGAGAAGAAGAAATATCCAAAATAAATCACCACAACTTTATCTTTGAAAACTAGGAAATAAGAAAATTAATCCAAAGTAAGCAGAAGAAACAAAATAATAAAAATTAGAGCAAGAATCAATAAGATTAAAAACAGAAAATCAAGAAAACCAAAGCTACTTATTAGAAAAGATGAATAAAGTCAGTACGCCTCTAGCTAGGGTAGAAAAACGTAGCTGTAATACTCATATCAGAAATGAAAGAAAAGACATCACTATATAACTCATGTATATTAACAAGATTATAAAGGAATACTGTGAACAACATGATTCCCACAAATTTGATAAGTTATAAGAAATAAAAAAATTTCCTTGAAAGGCATAATCTGCCAAAACTCACACAAGAAAAAACATACAATTTTAAGTGGCTTGTATTTATTAAAGAAATTGAATCCATAATTAAAGATCTAAAGCAGAAAGCACAGGCACAGATGCTTTCACTGCTGATTTCTACCAAACTTCCAATAAAGAAATTATAGCAATTCTCTATATGCTACTTCACAAGGTAGAAGTAATATTTTCTAAATCATTCTATGAGGCTAATGCCCTGCTACCAAAACCGGGCAAAAACATCACAAGACAAGAAAACAACAGACTAATATCTCAAATAAAAATAAATGCAAAATCCTCAACAAAATATGACCAATCATATCCAACAATGTATAAAACATTATACACAATAACCAAGTGGAATTTATCTTAGATATCAAGGCAGATACAACACTTGGAAATCAACTGATGTAAAGAAGAAAAGTCACACGATAATTTCAAAAGCATTTGACATAATCTAACACCTGTTTATGATAAATAGAAGTCTCAGTAAACTAGGAATAGAAGAAAACTTCTTCAACTTAATCAAGAATATCTATAAAATTCCTACAGTAAACATTAAGCTAAATGTTCAGAAACTAAGAGCTTTCATGCTAATATTTACTACAAAGCATTGATGTCCCCTCTCACCACTAGTTTTCAACATTATAATGAAAGTACAAGCTAATGCAATAAGATTAGAAAAGGAAACAAAAGGTATACATAAGGGGAAAGAAGAAATAAAACTGTCTTTGTTCACAGATGACATGATTGTCTATGTAGAAAATGTGAAAGAATAGACCAAAAACATCCCAATATCACTAATAAGCAATTACAGCAAGATTACAGGATATAAGGATATACACAAAATCAATCATTCCCATATATCAACAATAAACAAAATTAGAATTCAAAATTTAAAACATATATTATTTACATTAGCACCAAAAAGCATCACTTATAAATATAAGAAAAATGTGCAAAATGTATATGTGTAAAACTACAAAACTCTGATGAAAAAAATCCAAAAGAACTAAATGGAAAGATATTCCATGTTCATGGATAAAGGCTCAATATTGTCAAGATATCAGTTCCACCCAACTTGATATATAGATTCAATGCAATCTTAAGTTACTTTGCAGAAATAGGCACAATTATTCTGAAGTTTAAGTATACAGCAAAAGTCCCAGACTACCCACCACAATATTGAAGAACAAAGTTAAGTCTAACACTACCTGACTGTAAAATTTACTTACTATAAAGCTACAGTAATTAAAATAGTGTGGTATTGGTAAAAGAATAGACAAGTGGTTCTCCCAGCACAGTGTTTCAGCTCAGAGAATGGACAGACTGCCTCCTCAAGTGGGTCACTGACCCCCGTGTAGCCTAACTGGGAGACACCTCCCAGTAGGGGCCAACTGACACCTCGTACAGCTAGGTGCCCCTCTGGCACAAAGCTTCCAGAGGAAGGATCAGGCAGCAATATTTACTGTTCTGCAATATCTGCTGTTCTGCAGTCTCTGCGGGTGATATCCAGACAAACAGGGTCTGGAGTGGATCTGCAGGAAACTCCAGCAGACCTGCAGCTGAGAGACTTGACTGTTAGAAGGAAAACTAACAAACAGAAAGGAATAGCATCAACATCAACAAAAGGATATCCACACCAAAGCCCCATCTGTAGGTCACCAACATCAAAGACCAAAAGTAGACAAAACCACAAAGATGGGGAGAAACCAGAGCAGAAAAGCTGAAAATTCTAAAAACCAGAGTGCCTCTTCTCCTCCAAAGGATTGCAACTCCTCACCAGCAACGGAACAAACCTGGATGGAGAATGACTTTGATGAGCTGACAGAATTAGGCTTCAGAAGGTCGGTAATAACAAACTTCTCCGAGCAAAAGGAGGATGTTCAAACCCATCACAAGGAAGCTAAAAACCTTGAAAAAAAGATTAAACAAATGGCTAACTACAATAAACAGTGTAGAGAAGACCTTAAATGGCCTGATGGAGCTAAAAACCATAGCACAAAAATTACGTGATGCATGCAAAAGCTTCAGTAGCTGATTTGATCAAGTGGAAGAAAGGGTATCAGTAATTGAAGATCAAATAAACGAAATGAAGCAAGAAGAGAATTTTAGAGAAAAAAGAGTTAAAATGAACGAACAAAGCCTCCAAGAAATATGGGACTATGTGAAAAGACCAAATCTACATTTAATTGGTGTACATGAAAGTGACTGGCAGAATGGAACCAAGTTGGAAAACACTCTTCAGGATATTAACCAGGAGAACTTCCCCAACCTAGCAAGGCAAGCCAACATTCAAATTCAGGAAATACAGAGAACACCACAAAGATACTCCTCGAGAAGAGCAACCCCAAGACACATAATTGTCAGATTCACCAAGGCTGAAATGAAGAAAAAAATGTTAAGGGCAGCCAGAGAGAAAGGTTGGGTTACCCAGAAAGGGAAGCCCATCAGACTAACAGTGGATCTCTCAGCAAAAACTCTGCAAGCCAGAAGAGTGGGGGGTCAATATTGAACATTCTTAAAGAAAAGAATTTTCAACCCAGAATTTCATATCCAGCCAAACTAAGCTTCATAAGTGAAGGAGAAATAAAATCCTTTACAGAGAAGCAAACTCTGAGAAATTTTGTCACCACCAGGCATGCTTTACAGAGTTCCTGAAGGAAGCACTAAACATGGAAGGGAACAACCGGTACCAGCCACTGCAAAAACATGCCAAATTGTAAAGAACCATCAATGCTAGGAAAGAACTGCATCAACTAACGGGCAAAATAACCTGCTAACTTCATAATGACAGGATCAAATTCACACATAACAATATTAACCTTAAATGTAAATGGGCTAAATGCCCCAATTAAAAGACACAGACTGTCAAAATGGGTAAAGAGTCAAGACCTATCAGTGTGCTATATTCAGGAGACACATCTCACGTGCAGAGACACATGTAGGCTCAAAATAAAGGGATGGAGGGAGATCTAACAAGCAAATGGAAAGAAAAAAAAAAGCAGGGGTTGCAATCCTAGTTTCTGATAAAACAGACTTTAAACCAATAAAGATCAAAAGAGACAAAGAAGGCCACTACATAATGGTAAAGGGATCAATTCAAAAAGAAGAGCTAATTATCCTAAATATATATTCATACAATACAGGAGCACCCAGATTCATAAAGCAAGTCCTTAGAGACTTACAAAGAGACCTGGACTCCCACACAATAACAATGTGAGATTTTAATACTCCACTGTCAATATTAGACAGATCAATGAGACAGAAGGTTAACAAGGGTAGCCGGGACTTGAACTCAGCTCTGCACCAAGCCAACCTAATAGACATCTACAGAACTCTCCACCCCAAATCAACAGAATATACATACTTCTCAGCACCACATCACACTTATTCCAAAATTGACCACATAGTTGGAAGTAAAGCACTCCTCAGCAAATGTAAAAGAACAGAAATCACAACAAACTGTCTCTCAGACCACAGTGCAATCAAATTAGAACTCAGGATTAAGAAACTCACTCAAAACCACACAACTACATGGAAACTGAATCCTGCTCCTGAATGACTACTGGGTAAATAACGAATTGAAGGCAGAAATAAAGATGTTCTTTGAAACCAGTGAGAACAAAGACACAACATACCAGAATCTCTGGGACACATTTAAAGCAGTGCGTAGAGGGAAACTTATAGCACTGAATGCCCACAAGAGAAAGCAGAAAAGATCTAAAATTGACACCCTAACATCACAACTAAAAGAAATAGAGAAGCAAGAGCAAACAAATTCAAAAGCTAGCAGAAGGCAAGAAATAACTAAGATCAGAGCAGAACTGAAAGAGATAGAGACACAAAAAACCTTCAAAAAATCAATGAATCCAGGAGCTGGTTTTTTGAAAAGATAAACAAAATAGATAAACTGCTAACAAGACTAATAAAGAAGAAAATAGAGAAGAATCAAATAGATGCAATAAAAAATGATAAAGGGGATATCACCACCAATCCCACAGAAATACAAACTACCATCAGAGAATACTATAAACACCTCTTCCCAAATAAACTAGAAATTCTAGAAGAAATGGATAAATTCCTAGACATATACACCCTCTCAAGACTAAACCAGGAAGAAGTTGAATCTCTGAATAGACCAATAACAGGTTCTGAAATTGAGGCAATAATTAATAGCCTACCAACCAAAAAAAGTCCAGGACCAGATGGATTCACAGCCGAATTCTACCAGAGGTACTAAGAGGAGCTGATACCATTCCTTCTGAAACTATTCCAATCAATAGTAACAGAGGGAATCCTCCCTAACTCATTTTATGAGGCCAGCATCATCCTGATACCAAAGCCTGGCAGAGACACAACAAAAAAAGAGAATTTTAGACCAATATCCGTGATGAACATCGATGCGAAAATCCTCAATAAAATACTGGCAAACCAAATTCAGCAGCATATCAAAAAGCTTATCCACCACAATCAAGTTGGCTTCATCCCTGGGATGGAAGGCTGGTTCCACATACACAAATCAATAAACATAATCCAATACATAAACAGAACCAACTACAAAAACCACATGATTATCTCAATAGGTGCAGAAAAGGCCTTCTACAAAATTCAACAGCCCTTCATGCCAAAAACTCTCAATAAACTAAGTATTGATGGAATGTATCTCAAAATAATAAGAGCTATTTATGACAAATCCACAGCCAATATCATACTGAATAGGCAAAAACTGGAAGCATTCCCTTTGAAAACTGGCACAAGACAGGGATGCCCTCTCTCACCACTCCTATTCAACATAGTGTTGGAAGTTCTGGCCAGGGCAATCAGGCAAGAAAAAGAAATAAAGGGTATTCAATTAGGAAAAGAGGAAGTCAAATTGTTCCTGTTTGCAGATGACATGATTGTATATCTAGAAAACCCCACTGTCTCAGCCCAAAATCTCCTTAAGCTGATAAGCAACTTCAGCAAAGTCTCAGGATACAAAATCAATGTGCAAAAATTACAGGCATTCCTATATGCCAATAACAGACAAACAGAGAACCAAATTATGAGTGAACTTCCATTCACAATTGCTACAAATAGAATAAAATACCTAGGAATCCAACTTACAAGGGATGTGAAGGACCTCTTCAAGGAGAACTACAAACCTCTGCTCAATGAAATAAAAGAAGACACAAACAAATGGAAGACCATTCCATGCTCATGGATAGAAAGAATCAATATCATGAAAATGGCCATATTGCCCAAGGTAATTTATAGATTCAATGCCATCCCCATCAAGCTACCAATAACTTTCTTCACAGAATTGGAAAAAAACTACTTTGAAGTTCACATGGAACCAAAAAAGAGCCTGCATTGCCAAGACAAACCCTAAGCCAAAAGAACAAATCTGGAGGCATCACACTACCTGACTTCAAACTATACTACAAGGCTACAGTACCAAAACAGCATGGTACTGGTACCAAAACAGAGATATAGACCAATGGAACAGAACAGAGTCCTCAGAAATAACACCACACAATTACAACCATCTGATCTTTGACAAACCTGACAAAAACAAAAAATGGGGAAATGATTCCCTATTTAATAAATGGTGCTGGGAAAACTGGCTAGCCATATGTAGAAAGCTGAAACTGGATCTCTTCCTTACACCTTATACAAAACAGACAAAAATTTCTAGAAAATCTCTAGCTATATTGTAAAACTTCAACTCTTTAATGAAAAAGAAATTATTATAAAATAGCATAAAAAAGAAAGAATATCAACACTTTTCTCCAGTTCTCTTATTTGCTTAGAGATTTGTAGATATTGTGATAATATTTATGGTATTTTTATAAATATATAAATTATCTCCTGTAGAAAGGTTAAAAGATGCTTGCAAGAAAAAATTTCTGAGAATAAAGTATATTCATTTTATAAAATAAGAGTTAATGAGTTGAATATCTATACAGTATGGAAAACTAGCTCACCAAATAAAGACTAGCTCACCAAAACATAAAGTAATAATTTTACTGTGATAGGTTCCTTGAGCCCCATAAACGATAATACAAAATAGTATTGGAAAAAAAAACCACTTTTCTTTGATGAGATTGTACGTCTTGAGGCAATCAAACTTTATACGAAATATTTTTGGAGACAGAAAGAATTAGATTCGTGTAAAAAGGGCTATGGCTAAGATAAGACATATAAATCAATTACTGCTACAAAGTCCTTTAAGAGAGACAGCTTAATGGAAATGCAAATCTGTCCTTCACAATTTATAAGCTATTATTTTAGCATATTTATGACATGATTGTATGGTGTCGTGAATAGAGTTTTATTGACTGAATTTCTCAACCATTCTAAAGATTGATGAAATAATTAATTGAAGTATTTAATTCACATTTTCTCTTCCTAAGCAAGTCCCTCAAATATTGTTCTTCCTACTTGGCTTTTTTTCTGAGGTAATCCACATTTTAGCTACTGGTGTGACAAATAGCCACAGTCAGTCATATTCCTAATAAAGACAAATAACTAATATATATACATTCTAATGAAATTTATATCCTGCTTAAGAAAGTATATCACATTTTGCTTTTGATCTTTTATATTTTATAAAAAAGTTACTAACATAATGTACCCTGTGATTTGTTACTGCATCAAAATCATATTTAAAGTGAACAGTTTTTGCCCAGTTAGACTACTTTACAGACAATAGTAACAGAAATACTAATCCAAACTGAATTATTTGTGAATAAAGCTGAGTCTTATTTCAGAGATGTACAATGACATAAAGCTCCATTTATCTAAGATTTCCTCATTATTCCCTTCCTCTGTGTGTTAGTTTCATTAAAATTAGTTTTTTAATGTAGCAAAAATGGTTCTAAATATTTTTCAAATACAATCCTTACTA